>NC_000010.11:80597640-80749155 GCF_000001405.40 Homo sapiens | reverse complement strand
CACTTTTTAAAATTAAAGAGAATCCAAAATAAGCCCATGTTATCAAAATGTGGAGTTGCCTTGGTAGCCGTGTACAACAGCTTGTATTATCTCTTCCAAGGTGTTGGCATAATTAATATAATCTTATACTGTAGTGCCCATACCCTACCTACAGCTGATGGAAGGGCAGTGACAACATGGAGTGGATGTTCCCAAGTCAGGCTGTAAACAGCAGCCTATGATGAAGGTGACTGGTCAGGGTTTTCATTTGAGGCTTCTTGTAGTCCAATTAAAAAAAAAAAAGTCTTCCATTAAAAAAAAAGAAGAAGAAGAAATGAACATTTTAAAAGTCCATTGCAATTCTGGATAATAAAAATTTGGTCATTGAAATTTTTTTAAAAATGGATGGAGACAGATACAATAAACTCCAGATTGCAGACAGTTCAATTGAACTAGTGAATTAAACTTGGCATTGGTGGATTAGAAGCTCTCTGAAGACTTTACCCAGAGAAAATAAGATTAAAAAGTCTGAAGAAGTAAGAGATATGGAGACTAGATCAAAAGATTCCAACATATGTCTAACAAGTACCCCCAAAGTTAAAAGTAGAGGGAATTAAGGAGAAGCAATACACAAATAAATAATGGCCAAGAATTTTCTAGCATTAAAAAAGACAGGAGGTTTTTTTGTTTTGGTTTGGTTTTTTGTTTTTTTTCTGAGTGGAAAGCCAAACAAGAGGGACCGAAATAAATCCTCAACTAGATAAGCTGTGGCGGTGATGATGCAAAAATCAAGAAAACAAAGCGTAAAAGATATAAGGAAAGGTAAGGAAATTGCTCAAAGATTCTAATAAGCTCTAACAGATGCCAGGAGACAATGGGTTGAAATCTCCCAGTGTTAAGGGGACATAATTGTCACTTGGAATTCATATTTACAAAATCCTCTCACCAGTTATGGCAAAATAAGTATATTTTCAGACTTACAAAATTTATCACTCACATACCCTCACTGAAAATTACTAAATAATATATTTCAACAACAAAAAGATGTGAACACAGGAGGCAACACTGACTAAACAAAGAGCTCAAATATTCACTGTAAACATACTAAAATTAAGATTTTCATACTAAAAATATAGACCTGTTGGGAATAATGTTCAAAATCCTAAGGAAACTGAACACTCAAACAAAGGATTCTTAGCAAAGCAATTTTACTTCTGTGCAGAGGGGTGCTTCTCCTTGGCCAGTCACCATGAGAGCACACCCAAACAAAGGGGCATGAGAGCCTTTATTGCTGATGCAAGTCCGGCCCCGTACCCTTTCCCCATTGGCCAGGGTCAGGCCATACAATCTAAACTAATCCTGGTTGGCTAAACATTTTAACTTTTTTTAGATAAGGTGGGCACATAAGGGAGAGAGGGGAAAGGGGAAGGAGTGTGTGCAATGAGCTAGAGAGCTAGTCTTCTTTCCAAATAAGGAAAGGAAGGTGAGCTGGTACTGATAACGCCTGGTGCTGTGGCATGTCTTGGCATGTAACAAAGGCAGAAAGAAAAAAAGAGAGAAAGCAAAAAGGGATGGGGGGTGTACTATGAATTAAAGAATAAAGGATTGATCAGGCTACTTGAAGAGAAATCTCATCATATCCCACAGCTTTCCTCTTCTTTTTATAACTCTTTCTCTTCAAATCTTTTTAGCATAATTTGGCTCCACTGTTCTACTTGGTCTTCTAGAGGGAAAAGCTCATTTGAATAAGGGGGAGGAGGATCCTAAGAAGTGTTAGTGAGAGCTGTTTCAATAAGTCTTTGTATTAGTCCTCAGGCACAGGGTATAATACAGCATCCTACAAGAATAAGCAACCCTATTCTGATGGCCAGAGAGATGAGGATTGAGGACATAAGTCCCTTCCATCTACCAAACCAATTTCTCATTAAATTTGTGAAGGGATCGTTTAGTCCAGAATTTTTGGCTAGCTCATTTGATAAGGCAGTAAGAGCTTGTAATGCTTTAGTTATGGTCCTGCTGAGAGCAGTATTATTAGGGATATAAGTACAGCATTGGGTCCCGATCATGACACAAACTGCACACTCCTTTGCTAGTATCATGTCTGATGCTATCCTATTTCCCCAGGCCATTTGACTAGTGGGTCCTAATTGTTCAGCTATCCCTTTAATAGCATCTCTAGTATAATTAATAAATCATTGTTGATTGTAATAAATGTAATTTATCCAACTCACATTTTTATTTACAGTTAACCACCAGAAGAACATAGATTCAAATCCAGCAGTTATTTGATTTCAGGCCTTAAATTCAACTGCCACCCCTCTTGGGACCCCAATGGCATCTATATAAACAGGAGAATTGAAGGACTTATCAGGGGCCTCTCTTGTTTGACACTGTTTGGTTCCTATGCTTTCTGGTTGATTAAATGCCAGGGTGAAAGGGATGGCCAATTGAATTAGAGCACAAATTCCACTCCAGTTACTTGGCAGAGTGTCCAGTATTGGTCCACCAAAATACCACCACACATCTGCTCAAGGACGGCTAAGGGCAGACATGCGTAAGCTCTTGGAAGGGCTTAAGCTCACTGCATCCTGTTAAGGCTCCCAGGAACCCCAAGTTTTCTCCCCATCATGAGAGACACAAAGTAAAACTGGCATTGGGAGATGGACACTGAATGGCCCTCGGGGGCTGACCCGCAGGGTGTCGAACTTCAGGGTACAGCAGAGAAGGAGCTTGGCATGATTTGTTGCCCCAGGCTGAGGAGTTTTGGAAGAGAGCTACCATACAGCTCATGCCTGGTTGGCTGGAAGACCATCCAAGTGGAAAGGGGACAATCTGGGCCTCTGGTCTACTATGCGCACAAGCGTAACATTCACTTTTGTTTAAAGTGCGGATGGAATATTTAATCCATTCCAGCCAAGCATTTGCATCTTGATATCCTGTCTCTAGAGCTATTGTTTGCCTTAAGTTTTCTACTTCCACAACCGGTTGGGTCATTTTGGAGATGGGAGGAGGACGTTGGACTCGCTATACTTGGGGACAGCGTTGGGTTCCACGTGTCTCCCAGACTCTGGGTCTGAATTCCTTTATTACTGTTAACCAGTGGTTTAACTAACCTCAGCGAGAAGATTCCTACAGGGTCCTGTCCTGCAGCATCTGCTCCTAACCCAGACCGTTCGAATATAGAGGGTTCTTGGGCCTTTGTCTGGGGATTATTTATAATCAGCAACAAGGGGTTACCGTGTAATGGCTTACAATTTGGTGGGGTGGGACCACGGACTAGTTGGAGTTTTTGTTTTAGTTCCCATAACCTATTTGAAGCAGAGGGTCTAGCTGTCCACCCTTTGTACTTAGTAGTCTACCAAACATCTGCCCAGTCACTACAGGGACCTTTTAAAGCTCCATACTTATACTTGGTTGACTCTTTGCGGTATGGACATAGATACTTATCAACATGGGATAGCTTCCTTTGAGCTTGCTTGTCTCCGTATGGGATGACTGAACAGGCATCGAACTGAAGGGTTAAAGGGTGGCTAGCCTGAGTTACGTTGATGACAAGATGACCTTCTGTTGAAAAGAAAAAAAGAAAATAAACAAGTGATTACTAAGCTCTTTTTAGAGTTAGTTTGGTGGGGGTGAGCCTTGGAGTGACAGTCCATGATTCTAGAAGTGGTGGCACCTTTTTGACTCGGGTGTGATGAGTCCATCCTCTTTCCACTGTTCGGACTGCAGTCTCAGTAGTTAGGAGCACTAGGTAGGGTCCTTCCCAAGCTAGTACGAGTTTCCCTTCCTTCCACCCTTTGATGAGGACGTGGTCTCCAGGCTGATGCTGATGTGCTGAAAACTCCAGGGGCAGCGCCTGTGCTAGGAGACCTTCAGTCTTAAGGGAAGAGAAAGTAGAGGATAGACCAAGTATATAATTTTTGAGGAACTGTTCGTTTCAAATGTAGGGATGTCAGCAGTGGAGTGTAAGTAGGGCAATCTATAAAGCACTTCATAAAGGGAAAGGCCAATATGTCTCTGAGGGGCAGTCTGGATTCTTAACAAAGCAAAAGGAAGACATTCAGTCCATGGCGATCGAGTTTCTAAAACTAACTTAGTTAAGTGTTTTTTTAGAGTCTGATTCATCCACTCTAATCTTCCTGAGGAGGATGGATGCCAAGGGGTATGATAGTCCCAATTTATATCTAGTACCTGGGCTAACTTAATGACATGTGCAGTGAAATGGGTTCCATTATCTGAATCAATATTTTCTACTAGTCCAAATCTGGGTATGATGTTTTCAATTAATGCTTTAACTACATTATTGGCGGTTGCACTTGAGAATGGGATAGCCTCTACCTAGTGGGTAAAGTGATCTATTATTACTAATAAGTATTTTAAACGACCAATTGGGGGCATTTCAGTATAATCAATCTGAACATTCTGAAATGGTCTTAGCCCTGGATTCCTTCCTCCAAGGGGCGATTTCCTTAGAATCTGCTTATTAGTCTTTTTACATATTAAGAAACTATCTATAACTTGTTTGGCCTGGGTGTAAATTCCTATACACCCACAAACCCAGAGAACTGCATCGCACATTTCTTGGGGTCCTCAATGGGTCCTCTGGTGTAATTGAGACAAGACCTCCCTCATGAGAGGTTTTGACAACATCTCCCTTTGATCTGGTAATATCCATTTCCCTTCTGTGTTCTCTTTAGTTCCTATTCTTATTTACTTCTCTTTTTCTTTTTTCTTTTTTATTTATTTATTTATTTTTTTTGAGACGGAGTCTCGCTGTCGCCCAGGCTGGAGTGCAGTGGCCTGATCTTGGCTCACTGCAAGCTCCACCTCCCGGGTACACGCCATTATCCTGCCTCAGCCTCCCAAGTAGCTGAGACTACAGGTGCCCGCCACCTCACCCGGCTAATTTTTTGTATTTTTAGTAGAGACGGGGTTTCACTGTGTTAGCCAGGAAGGTCTCGATCTCCTGACCTCGTGATCCGCCCGCCTCAGCCTTCCAAAGTGCTGGGATTACAGGCATGAGCCACCGCGCCCAGCCTACTTCTCTTTTTCAATGGAAGAGAAAATGGGGGTTGCAGTAGGAGAAGGCAGGCATGGAGTTATATGAAAAACAGGCATTTTGGAAGAAACAGCAACTTGCTTTGCTATCTGATCTGTGAGATTATTTTCCCGACTTGTGAAAGACAAGTCCCTTTGATGCCCTGGAACATGTACAATAGCTATCTCTTCCGGCAATTGGAGATTGTTGAGGACACAAGCAATTAGTTCTCTATGAACTACATCTTGGCCTTTACTATTGATAAGACCCCTCTCCATCCAAATTTTTCCAGATGTGTGTGCCACCACAAAGGCATACTTAGAGTCAGTATAGATAGTACCTTCTTGGTTTTGTAAATGTTCTAAAGCTTGGCTGAGTGCAAACAGTTCACACGTCTGGGCAGATCAATTATTAGGCAGTGTTCCCGATTCTACTTCTTCAAGCATTTCTCCATCAATCACTGAATACCCATTATGTCTTTTCCCTTCAATTACCAGGGAAGACTCATCTATGAATAAGTGCCGCCTTGTCTTGAAGGGAGTTTCTCCTAAGTCTGGTCAAACTTTTATATGTTAATCAATCAGATCTAAATATGTGTGCTCTCTTTTTAAGTTTGGATCCCCCATTAAAAAGCCTGCTGAATTAAATGAATTATCAGTAGTTAATATTAAATCATCTTTTTCCAGTAGGATAGCCTCATATTTTAAAATCCTTGAGTCAGTGATCCACCTTCCTGCTTTCTGATTTAAAATAGTTCTAACTTGGTGGGGCGTGCTTACTGTTAATTTTCCTCCAAAGGCTAACTTCCTACTTTCTTCAACTAATACTGCTGTAGCCATGATGGATTGGATACACTGGGGCCACCCACGAATGACTGGGTCTAAGACCTTTGACAAGAAGGCCACGGGCTGTCGATGGCCTCCTTGCTCTTGGGTAAGCACTCCTAGAGCTACCCCATTATTTACATTAACAAAAAGGTGAAATGGCTTTTCTAGGGAGGGAAGAGATAGAAGAGGGGCAGTTATGAGCATCTCTTTTAATTCCTCAGTTTGCTGGATTTCCTCAGAAGTCCACAAGAGACGATCAGGCTTCCATGGGGCAACTTTCTCATACAGAAGTTTACTTTTTAATGCATATGAGTCAATCCATAAATGGCAATATCCAATTAGTCCTAAAATTTTCCTGAGTTCTTGTTTAGTTTGAGGCAGGGGTAGGGAAACAATTCCCTCCACTCTTTCAGGTCCTATTCTTCTACCTGAGCTGATTAGGTGACCTAAGTATTTAACTTCAGGTTCTACATACTGAAGTTTCCCTTTTGAGTCCTGCAATCCCTCGCATTGCAAGTGATTGAGAATATGTGTAGAAAAGTCACCTACTTCCTTTATATCTTTACCAGATATAAGATCATCCATGTACTGAAGCAGGCATATTTGCCTAGGGGCTGTGAGTTTCTCTAGTACTTGGTTCTAGGATCTGACCAAAGAGGTTGGGGAAGTCTGTGAACCCTTGGGGCAAGACTGTCCATTGATATTGTTGTCTCTGCCCCAAATGGGAGTCTTCCCACTCAAAAGCAAATATATCTCGGCTATCCTCAGCCAAGGGGCATGCCCAGAAGGCGTCCTTTAAATCTATCACTGTAAATCACTGATGATTTTACAGAATTTTTCTAAGAATGGTGTAAGGGTTAGGAACAATGGGGTGAGTGGTCTGTACTATTTGATTAATAGCTCTAAGGTCTTGCAGTAATCGATATGACCCATCTGATTTCTTGACAGGCAGGATTAGGGTATTGTAAGGAGACATACAGGGTTCAAGAAGCCCATCTTTAATGAGATGTTCAATTACAGGCTTTAGCCCTAATCTGCCCTCTAAAGGAATGGGGTATTGCTTTCTCCTTACTATTTCTCCAGGAGTTTTTAGTTTGATACATATTGCAGGGATTTGGAGTTTCCCTCTATTTCCTTCCTTTGACCAGGTATCAGGATGAATATATTTCTCATCCACAGCAGTGAGTAAATGTACTGAAGTGAGGAATCCTTTAGGGCCCACTTGAAGGCCTATACCTAGCCTTAACATTAAGTCCCTTCCTAATAGATTAGTCCCAGCTTCAGGAATAAAAATTGAATATGAGTAAATCGATCTTGATATCTGACTTCTGTGCTTTCTAAAATTTTTGCCTTAAATCCTTCTCCTTTTACCACAGAGACTAAAAGTTCTTCTGAAGAGCAGGTAAGACCAGGTGGAGGGAAACAAACAGAGGAGGGTGAAGCCCCTGAATCGACTAAAAATGTGATAAATTCATGTTTAGGTCCCACCTCCAAATTTATCATGGGCTCCTGGTGGGATTCATAATAAAAGAGGCAGAGCCCCTGACTTCCCTATTGTTCTTCAAAAGTCATGAGTGTGAAAGTTTCTCTCTCTTTAGTTCAGGACATTCACTCTTGAAGTGGCCTGTTCTTCCACATTTGTAGCATCTATCTTGTCCTTCTTCCTTCTTAGTCTTAGCATTCTCTGCCCTTGCTCCCCTATACCCCTTAGGGGGTTTATTAAATGAGGACCTCAACCCTCCAGATGGAGGATTGGGTCCTCTCAAGGAGGGTTTAGGCCCCTTATAATCTCTGGCCCCTTGAAAGCCCTGCTTAGAGATATCTGGATTTGGGGCCATCTGTTGGAAGGTAGATAACATAAGTTTTGTCTTTTGTTTTTGTTTTTCCTTGTCTCTTCTTACATACACTTTTTGAGCCTCCCTGAGTAGTTCACTCAGGGGACGGTCCTCCCAATTTTCTATCTTCGGAAAATTCTTGAAATGTCTGGCCAACTTTTAGTAATGAAGTTAAGTTTTAACATTCCCTGTCCAAGGGGGTTTTCCAAATCAAGGCCTGCATATTGTCTCATCTGCTCCCTCAATCTATTTAAGAATCTAGCAGGTCCCTCATCTTTTTCCTGTTGAATATCAAATGCTTTAGAAAGATTTTGAGTTTGGGGTACTGATTCTCGAATTCCTATTATCATTTCCCTTAGGCGCTGCATGTTTTCCTGGTGATTTGCATTGTTATTGTCCCACTGAGGGTCTTGGGTGGGAAATTTATAGTGGGCAGGAGGAACATTTTGACCGGGAGGGTGTTCGCGTTCCCAAACCGCCATAGCAGCCCTCTGAATCATACTTCATTCTTCCCCTGAAAATAGGGTGCCTAAGATGGACATCAACTCGGCCCAGTGTATATCTGAGGCCCTAGAAATTGATCAATTTGATCTGCTACTCCATAAGGGTCATCCAGTAACGGCTTAAGCTCCTTTTTTAAATTCCAGACTTCTGAACTAGTCAAGGGAGCGTTTACAAAGCCAATAGCCCAGTAGCCCTCACCCCCCTTGTGGTACCTCTCTTAGAGGAAAGAAAGTTGGATCTGGCTCTTTACGTGTGGAGGGAAATGGAAAGTTTTGAATATCTTGTTTACATTGCTCTATCTCACACGGAAGCCCTTTTAAAGACGGATACTTAACAGGTTAGTGGGAGGCAGGCTCACAAGATGGTAACTGCAAAGTTGGGATTACAGGGAGGAGGAACAATATGAGTAGAGGCACCACAAGCGGAGTAGGGATCTGCAGCAGCAGCTGGGGGGATGGAACACAGCCAAGTGACACAGGTGAGGGAGTGGCCTGAAACAGCTGGGGAGTAACCCGAAACCGCAGCTGGAGGGATGGAACCCGGAGGAGCAGAATCGGGGACAACTGGAAGAGTGACGCAAGCAGGGAAGGGACCTGAAATGGAAATGGGAGCCAGATGGGGGGATTGGGGGCAACCAGAAGAGTGGACGCAAACAGGGGAGAGACCTGAAACGGAAACGGGAACTGGAGGGGTGGGATCGGGGTCCGCCAGAAGAGTGATGCAAGCAGGGCAGGGACCTGAAATGGGACCCGGAGGGGCGGGACTGGGGGCACTGAATGGAGGAAGATGATCTAGAGGGTCCCACGTGTTAGTGGGTGTGGGTTATCTAGACATGGGACCTCTTTCCCTTCCAGAGGGGTTGGCTTCTGGCTTTCTCCCTCTGGAATCTAAAGGGTAAAGGAGGACAGGTCCCTGCCGCCAGCAGAGGGTGTAATCAATTTCTTCCTGGGAGACAGGGCTCTTATCATTAACATGCTCAATTAAGAGCTGGAAAATTCGCTCCTCATTAGACCCAAATTTTGGCAAGAAAAGTGAGGGTTTAAGGTTGGGTTCTTGAACCCAAATAAAACAAAAATATTTTATCATCTGCTGTTTTCGTTTATACTTGGTTTTCTCATTATCTTTCCAATACTTTAGCATAAGCCTCAAGGGGCTATCAGAAGGAGTTTCATCACTCTTGACTCTTTAGTTTTCCTGTCTTACTTGAAACATTCCCCATCTTACGAGTTATGGGGGGCGTCAACCTCTCCTGTTAAAGGTGTCTACCCCTCTTTCCAGAGGCTGAGGCTTTAAGAGGGGGTTCAACCTCTTGTGTTAGAGGTGTCTTACCTCCCCCTTTCTAGAGGCTTAGCCCCTCCTGTTAGGGTTTCCTGCATATCCTATAGCTCACCCGCTCTGGAGGTTCCTTACACCCTTCTTTCTCTTTGTCTACTCTGACTGTTCCTGCTCCTAGTCGACAGACGGCAGCACAAAACCACAGAGAAGACTCACTCACTCCACACAACCATAATGCTTAGCCCCATTTACACACTTTCAACCTCCAAATTATCCCGACCACCAAGGAAATACTTTGTCGCCTTTGTGAAGTCTCCTATCTTATTCTGTGCACAAGAATTACCTGGTCCTTTTATTGCCGTGGTCTTGCAAGCCTCTCCTGTCCACTTTGCTGAGAACCCAGATTTATTCGTCACAACAGGTGGGACCTGATCTCCCTTCACCCTCAGGCCACTGTAACTAGACAGTGGGATGCATCCCCCCTGGGTGGAGTGAGCGAAGACCCCCTTCCCGAAGGAGAATATTTGAGTCCCACATTTGGGCACCAGAATTGTTGGGAATAACGTTCAAAATCCTAAGGAAATTGAACACTCAAATAAAGGATTCTTAGCAAAGCAATTTTACTTCTGCGCAGAGGGGTGCTTCTCTTTGGCCAGTCGCCATGAGAGCACACCTGAACAAAGGGGCTTGAGAGCCTTTATTCCTGATGCAAGTCCGGCCCCTGTACCCTTTCCCCATTGGCCAGGGTCAGGCCATACAATCTAAACTAATCATGGTTGGCTAAACATTTTAACTTTTTTTAGATAAGGTGGGCACATAAGGGAGAGAGGGGAAAGGGGGAGGGGTGTGTGCAATGAGCTAGAGAGCTAGTCTTCTTTCCAAATAATGAAAGGAATGTGAGCTGGTACTGATAACGCCTGGTACTGTGGTGTGTCTCGGCATGTAACAAAGGCAGAAAGGAAGAAAAAAAGAGAAAAAGGAAAAAGGGGCGGGGGTACTAGGAATTAAAGAATAAAGGATTGATCAGGCTATTTGAAGAGAAACCTCACCACATCCCACAGACCCAAAGTATTAGATAATAGCAACAAAAGAGGCAGAATTGAAGAACGGTGTGTAATAAAGTATGCTGAAGCCTTTTTCTGTTTTTTTTGTGTTAGGCAGAGAAGAGAGATAGTAAATTACATAAATATATAAGAAATATACAGTATATGTTAACATTTTAAGAATAACTATTACAAGAAATATAGCCAATATTAACTAACCAAACAGAAGAGAGACTACAAGGGATTTTCAAATTTTCAGTTCAGATAAAAGAAAAAAGCAGATAAAAATACATACAAGAAAGTATGGTAAGCAAAAAAACAAAATTAGATATAAAAATAAAAGTAAACAGTAATCATACAAGGTATAAATGTATTAAATTTGCCAAGAGAGAAAACATATAATTTGTTTTTCAAATATGTGTGCATACACACACACACATACATATACTGTTTATTGGAAGTACACATCCAATAATATAACACAAAAGCCCCAACCTAGTAGAAAAGATTATCCATCAACATAAACACCAGGCGAAACATGCCAATACCATTTGAGAAACACAGATCAGGCTTTGTAAAATTTCAAAACAGAGTGAGAAAATAGACACAGAAGGTGAGAGAGAACCCATAAAATATGGAAGGAGATCAAGGAAGCCTTCATGGGAGAGGCGACATTTGAGTTGAGTCTCGAGGAATGGGTAGGACTGGGCCTCTAGCAATGGACAAAAGCACCCAATGTTGAGGAACCTGGGGAACATGGGATTTATAAAATTAGAGAGGGTTTGACTGTCTTACGTGACTTGCCACAGTATTTTTCGGCAAAGGGAGACACTGAAATCTTGTGCATCAGGAAATAACATTATATTCTCAAATCCCAAAAATTCCAAGTATCAATGGGTAGATGGGAGGAGGAATGGGGAAGAATGAACAAATGTAGACTTCATGATGCTCCTGATGTCACAGTCTTCCAGGACAAGCTTTGGTGATCATCTTGCTTGCAGGTCCTCAGAAAAGTGATCTATTTTTCTAGAACTTTATTTTTCCAGAAGGACAGTTGAGAGCTTGATTCTAGTCTGGCTCTACTAATATAATGGTGAGTGTGAGCCAGCTGCCTCTCCCTACAAAATCATTGTCATGCGGTATTTCCCATACAGTTCCTCCTTGCTCTAGCTGTGGTTGTGAGTAGGGTAAAGTGGAAATGTTGACCTGAAGAGGAAAGAAAACCTTATCTTAAGCTCCTACCAAGGTCAAGAAACCATGCAAACCCATTTGCCTCTGTATTGCTGGGGAACTTGCCAAAACTGTTCTCTGCATCACTGATCACTGTTTTTCAGTGTCATTTCTGTTCTTTATGGTCTACAACCGAACTTTAATTTGGCTTTGTGTTTTTATTTTTGTTGATGGAAACAGTAAAACTCTGTAAAATATTTGAAGAGATTTATTCTGAGCCAAATATGAGTGACCATGGCCCATGACACAGCCCTCAAGTGGTCCTGAGAACATGTGCCCAAGGTGGTCAGGGTACAGCTTCGTTTTACACATTTTAGGGAGGCATGAGACATCAATCAAATACATTTAAGAAAAACAACGGTGTGGTCCAGAAAGGCAGAACAACTCAAAGCAGGAAGCAGGGGACAGGGCTTCCAGACTATAGGTAAATTTAAACATTTTCTGGTTGCCAACTGGTTGAGTTTGTCTAAAGACCTGGGATGATAGGAAACATTCAGGTTAAGATAAAATATTGTGGAGACCAAAGTTCTTTTGAAGTCTTATGGTGGCTGCCCTAGAGAAAATAGATGACAAATGTTTCCTATTCAGATCTTTAAAAGGTGCTAGACTCTTAGTTAATCTCTTTAGGATTGAGAGGGCCTGGAAGAAAAAGAGCTAGCTATGTTAATAGAGATTCTTTACAGCTGTAAATTTTCCCCCACAAAGGAAAGCTTTGCAGAGCCATTTTAAGATATGGTAAAGAAACATGTTTTGGGGTAAAATATTTTGATTTTCTTCCTTGTCTCGTAAGGTTATGTCAGAGTCAGATTCAAAGTAAGTCACAATATATAAGGTTAAATAAAACCCATCTGATGAGAAGTTATGGTTTGTAGGGCATGATTCCCCAGACCCCTTAGATAGGAATTTGGGCAAGATTAAAAAATCAGAGCTTAGTCCTCATTTTCCTGGAAGTCTTTTTTTTCCCCGTTATCTTTTTACTATGAACTGTTTTAAATGTTTACAAAAGTAGACCTATCATTTCATCTGTAAGTATTGTTTCAGTATGTATCTGTAAAAGATGATTACTCTTTTGAAGACAAATCTGGAATTTCACAATCATACCCAAAACAATTCACAAAACTTCTTTAGCATAAACACATACAATCAGTGTTCAGATTTTTCTAAATGTCTTACTAGGTTTTTTAAAACAGTTTGTTTGAAACAAAAATCAACTTTGTGGATGTCTCTTAAATCTCTCTTAATTTGTAGATTTCCTCCATTTCTCTTTTTTCCTTGGATTTTCTGTGTGTTTTGTTTTTGTTGTTGTTGTTTGGTTTTCTTCCTTTCCTTTAAAAACCAGCCATCTGTCATGTAGAGTTTAATATACTCTAGATTTTGCTGTTTGCATCCCTATCGTATCATTAACATCTTCCTTTGTCCCCTGCATTTCCTGAAAATCGGTGTTTGTTTTGATCAGAACATACATAAATGTCTGGTTATGTCTCTTTTTTGTGATATTATCACCATTTATAAGCATTGTCTGACTCTACCTGGATTATATCTTTAGAGCCTGGAAATAGTCTAATTCTGTCATTCTTGGCTTATCAGCTGAAATTCTTCTACATAGAGAATTTCTCTCAACCCATTACTCAAAGAAAGAAATTGTATAAGAAAGGCAGAATAGACCAGGCACAGTGGCTCACGCCTATAATCGCAACACTTTCGGAGGCCGAGGCAGGCAGATCATTTCAAGTCAGGAGTTTGAGACCAGCCTGGCCAACATGGCAAAACCCTTGTCTCTACTAAAAATACAAAAATTACCCAGGTGCAGTGATGCACACCTGTAATCCCAGCTACTCGGGAGGCTGAAGCAGGAGAATCGCTTGAACCTGGGAGACAGAGGTTGCAGTGAGCTGAGTTCACACCACTGCACTCCAGCCTGGGTGACAGAGCGAGACTCCATCTAAAAAAACAGGCTAAATATTTAATATGTTCAATTGATTTCCTAGATTTTAAAATATGATTCTCTAGCATCCTCCAAAAATAATTGATGAGGTTTTTTATTATGTGTTATCATTATGAACACTTGCATTGAAACCTATTCAAAGTGTTTTAATTCATCACAATTATCATCATTCTGGAAGACAAATATGTCCCATCTTTGGCCTATGGAAGGTTCTTAGGTGGTCTCTAAGTCCCTTAACCTATCTCTAGTGGTATTTAATAGCTTCTTTGCTATCTAGTATGACAAGTCATTTTAAGCTCTTCTTGAACATTTCCTTCCTCATACTTAGAATCAGCCAATTCTCCAAGAAGACTTGGTTCTTCTTAGTGGCAAATGGCATTAGAGATCACAGATTGCATGCTGGGGATGCTCAAAGCCACTAAGCTGGCCACCACCTCTCAGTCTCTTAGTTGACTGACAGGAAAATTTTTAAGGTAAAATACAGTTCACAGTGACAATTCAAATTCAAAGTTACAGTTTTCATTTAACCTCATCCATCTCACATGTTTTCCTCCTTTCAACCATGCCAAAACCCTCAGTTCTCAATGTCAACAACATAATCACTCATTTGATTCATTTCCATGATACACACACAACAGTCTCAGAATATCAATGTCAACACTACTACCACCAACAGGCATTCTGAGTAAAATTGAAGATATTTGGCAGTTCTTCTTGTCCTTTGGGAATAACCCACAGGAGATGTCAAAACACTGTGTTTTAGTGTCACTTGGAATATTTCCTTTCTGCATGGTTATGCCAACAACTGGATGCACAGCTTGATTTCTTTCATTTTTCTGAAAGTCTTTTTTGAGTGTAATTCACTTTCTTACCATCTCATCTGTTGACTTTACATCTAATTCCTTTATCTCCTTTTCTTTGCCTACTTTTTTTTGAGACGGAGTCTTGCTCTGTCACCCAGGCTGGGGTGCAGTGGTGTGATCTCGGCTCACTGCAACCTCCACCTCCCAGATTCATGCAATTCTCCTGCCTCTGTCTCCTAAGTAGCTGGGATTACAGACGCCCGCCACCACGCCTGGCTAATTTTTTTTTTTTTTTTTTTTTTTGGATTTTTTAGTAGAGATGGGGCTTCACCATGTTGGCCAGGCTGGTTTCGAACTCCTGACCTCAAGTGATTCACCCGCCTTGGCTTCCCAAAGTGCTAGGATTATAGACATGAGCCACCATGTCCAGCCTCTTTGCCTACTCCTGACTCATGAAAGCCATGCTTTCTGAAACACACATGCTAGGTAAATGTTCTTATGTGTTCAATTAGAAATAACTTTTTGCTTCAGGATTCTTTGGAAGGCCTCATTCTGTTTCTTGATTATTTTGTTTTTCTGCTATTTCATCCTTAAACATGGCTCTTTCTAGCTAAGCCTGGTATTTGTTAATAGGGTGGATGGCTTACCTTACCAATGCAGTTATGGGATTAATCATTATAATTGATAATAATATATTCATTGAGGCCTTACTAGGTACTAAGAACCAAATACTCTGAATTGAGAACTATTTTAATCTCCCTAACAGGCCTATGACATAGACGTTGCAATCTCTATTTTAGAAATGAGAACTCCAAGATGCAAGTTTACTTCCTACTGCTCTGATGAACCAAAATGGCCTGACATCATTAAGGGTGGCGGGTATCCAAGTTATCGGCAGCGAATCTGTACGGGTCTGCAGAAACCTCAATTTTTGCCTCCTCAGAAGAAAGAATTCAACTGAGGGGCAGAAGAAGAGACTGAAGCAAGTTTTAGAGCAAGAGTGAAGTTTATTAAAAAGATTTAGAGCAGAAATGAAAAGTATACTCGGAAGAGAGTCAAGTGGACGTCTTGGAGGACTAGTGCACTGTTTGACCTTGGACTTTGGGTTTTATATGCTGGCATACTCCCAGCTTCTTGCATCCCTTTTCCCTTGATTCTTCCCTTGGGTTGAGCTGCCCGCATGCGTGGTGGCCTACTAGTGCCTGGGAGCTGAGCATGTGCAGTGTGTTTACAGGAGTTGTATGTATGCTCACCGGAGGCATTATTCCCTTTTCCAGTGGAATGTCCCTGGAAGGTCATATTCCACCATTTTGCTTTTTTTTTTTTTTTTTTGAGATAGCGTCTCACTCTGTCACCCAGGCTGGAGTGCAGTTGCATGATCTCAGCTCACTGCAACCTCTGCCTCACAGGTTCAAGCAATTCTCTGCCTCAGCCTTAGAAGTAGCTGAGATTACAGGTGTCCACCACCACACCTGGCTAATTTTTGTATTTTTAGTAGAGACGGGGTTTCACCATCTTGGCCAGGCTGGTCTTGAACTCCTGACCTTGTGATCCACCTGCCTTGGCCTCCCAAAGTGCTGGGATTACAGGCGTGAGCCACTATGCCCAGCCCACCTTGCCTCTTAATGTACATGACTGAGCCCATTGGCCCAACTCCTGAGATCTTATAAGGAAGTGCTGATCATGTTTCAGGTGTTTCCTATCTATTGGGAGACTGACTTTCCCTGGCACTGGCTGCAACCTATTATTTTAGAGAGGCAGTGTGACAACTACCTGACCATAACCTGATGGTTGCTTGACTTTCCTGGTGGGGCGTGGGGGTCCCTCTCCTGCCCTGTTAGTGTCTGACTAGCTACCCACTGTAACAACATTAAGGCAAAGGATGTAATTTCTAGTGAAGATGAGAATAAGTTAAAGATTCTCCCTTGACCAAATGCAATTTATAAAAACCTTTAAACCACTATCCACCCCCAGCATTCCCTGTTCCCAGGGTTCAGCTTTTCTCCATCATTTTTAATAACAGTCCCTAAGATCCAGTCCACAACAGCCAGTCCCTCCGTGTGGTTGTATATAAGAGTTGTGGACTCTAAATGAAACAGAAGAGATCCTGTGGAAGTGCCTGTTTCCTGGTTGGGACAGACTCTGTCTCTGACCCACGGGAAGACAGTGGGGAGAGGGTTAGTTGTTCTTCCTACCTATTCCCGAGCAACTGGCACCACTCCTTTCAGAGAGGACAGTGGACAGAACCATGCCAACAAAGCAGCTAAAAATTCTGGGGTAGTTTTGGTGTAGATTGATACTAGATTACCAAACAATGTTATAAGTCACCTGCATTGATAAGAAAAAGAGAGGTCACGGCCAGGCGCAGTGGCTCACGCCTGTAATCCCAGCACTTTGGGAGGCCAAGGTGGGCGGATCACCTGAAGTCAGGAGTTTGAGACTAGCCTGGCCAACATGGTGAAACCCTGTCTACACTAAATATACAAAAATTAGCCAGGCATGGTGGCAGGCGCCTGTAATCCCAGCTACTCAGGAGGCTGAGACAGGAGAATTGCTTGAACCTGGGAGATGGAGGTTGCAGTGAGCCGAGATCATGCTATTGCATTCCAGCCTGGGCCACAAGAGCAAAACTCCGTCTCAAAAAAAAAAAAAAAAAAAAAAAGAAAAGAAAAAAGAGAAAAAGAGAGGTCATGAGACAAGGGATCAATCTTTCATCAGAACTATAGTTAGAAAAGTTCTCCCAAATGTTCTTGTTTTCAGAAACAGAAACATAGTCAATTACATTATTTGGGGGGAAATTTCCTGACTACTGTTTTTGTATAATTTCTTTAGTATTCACACAGTAATTGGGAGAAAACTCTTTCAAGTGCTGATTGCCTGAGGCCATCTTAAAGTGGATGTCCTCTATATGTTAAATAATTTAATCTTCACAACAAACCAATGAAGCAAAGGTTAATTTCCCCAATTGTCAAGGAAACTGTGACTTAGAAAATTGGCCAAGGTCACATGGTAGAAGCTGAATTCCAAGACTCTTTCTACTACTCCGCCCACCAAGAAGCAACCTTTTGTCTAGGAGGAAAGCTGTCCATTAGGAATATATATTTTCACCCTCCAGGGAATATATTGATTCCTGATATTCAGAAGATGTCCCTGATATTAGGAGGCACATTAGATGCCTGTGGGAAGAGCCCTAAGTACTCAAAAAATGCAAATCCTAGGCCAGGCGCAGTCGCTCATCCCTGTAATCCCAGCACTTCGGGAGGCCGAGGTGGGCAAATCACAAGGTCAGGAGTTTGAGTCCAGCCTGGCCAACACAGTGAAAACCCATCTCTACTAAAAATACAAAAAATTAGCTGGGCGTAGTGGTGGGCACCTGTAATCCCAACTCCTCGGGAGGCTGAGGAAGGAGAATCGCTTGAACCCAGGAGGCAAAGGTTGCAGTAAGCCAAGATGTGCCACTGCACTCCAGCCCAGGCAACAGAGTGAGACTCCATCTCAAAAAAAAAAAGAATGCAAATCTTCATTGCCTTGTGTGGACAACAGCCCAAGGGCCAAGGTCCCCGTGGGCTGGTGGCCTGCTAGGGCTCCAGCCAAGGACTCCTGACTCTTCTACCTCTCTTTCCCCCTAGAGTTCACATTACTGCTCACCTGACTCATATCCCTAATTCCTCAGCAGAAACTTCTCATAGCTTTAACTTCTTTTTAATCAGGTCAAATAAAAATGTTTTTAATTAACTGCCTTGGTTTTTATGCCTTACATACAGCTGCTTTTTGCAATCTGGCAGGTCCCATCTGTTGGTTTTTCAGCAGGCTGCTTCTGCATTCATTGCTTCTTTCCCATCATTTTACTGAGCAACCCCTGGACACCCAGAACATTATCCTGGGTGCTGTGGCAACACAACATGTAAGGAGCTATGGTCCAGAAGTGGAGGCAACACCTCGTGAGAGCCCTCTGTAGAGTCTGATAAGGATGACAGCTGTGGTGTGTGCAAATACAGGAGAGGATGAGGACCATGCTGCAAGGAATCAAGAAATGCTCCACAGAGGAGGTGGCTTTGAGCCTTAAAGGGTAAATTGACCAAATGAAGAAGAGATTATTTTGTAAAAGGTGAAGAAAAACGAAAACCTTCTCAATGTTAACAAAAGAGAGGAAGAAATAAAATTCAATACCTGTGTAACGAATTTTAAAAATTGGAGTTAAACTTTCTCTTGGAGATTGCAAATACCCTCTACCAGGCCTGGATAACTGCATGTATACATTAGTGTTTAGTGCTAATTCCCAAAATCTGACCAGCACCGAGTTAAGACAGTCATCAGGGAAGGGAGCTTTAAGGATAGTTTGAGTGACAGAACCCACTTCATCATCAAGACATTTTGTGGGAAGGAAATTTGGCAGAGTCGACCAGGAGGTGGAGGAGAGATGAAAAGGGAGCCCAGGACAAGCCAATATCTGCTCAGGCCCCCTGAGGAGGCAAGGGTGGAAAGAAGGCAGCCCAGGTGTCCTTCTGTGGAAGCCATTTCTCAAGTGTCTTCCACAGACTAGTCCAGCAGCCTGGAGCCCAGCGTCAAGCCCAACTCCCCAAATCCCAAATGAATTGCCGCCCATTGGCCACCTCTTCCAGACCAAGACAATAATGACACGCCTGTGGTACTGGCCTCCCCACGGAAGACTAAAGAGAACCTCGAGCTGAAGCTGATGAGGAGAAGAAAGTGTGTCATCTCTGTTAGTTTCCCAATGCCACCCAAACAATGCATACACTGTGTCTTTTAAAAAACACATACTTTTATCACCTCAAGGTTTCTGTAGCTTAAAGTCCAGCATGCTGTGGCTGGATTCTTTGCTCAGGGTCTCACAAGGCCAAAATCAAGGTGTTGGCCAACTTAGGACCTTATCTGGAGGCTCTGAGGGAGAATCCACTCCCAGCCTTATTCAAGTTATTGGCAGAATTCAGTTCCTTGTGGTTGTAGAACTAAGGTTGCCATTTCCTTGACACCTGATCCCTTCAATCAAGCCAACATGTCATGTTGAATGCTTCCTGAATGTTGAATCTCTGGCTTCCTCTTCTTCCTCTGTTTTAAGGGCTTGCATGATTACACAAGGTCTACCTAGATGATCCATGATAATCCTCCCATTTTAAAATCTCTGCTTAGTCATCTTAATTCCATTTGGAAAGTCCCTTTTACCCTGTAAGGTAACATATCTGTGGGTGTTGTATCTCATTGAATTCAGTGTGTCAGGAATTTGGTGGAATTCTCTTAGGGACAATGAGTCTACCTACCTTGCCATCCTTCTCCCCTTGAGTGTCCATCACCTCACTACCTAATCTTATAAAAAGTCAGTGCCAAGAAACTTCAGAATAAGACATGCCTTGACATTCAAGGAATGTTCACCTTAGTTGGAGAATTCAAAACAAGACATAGTGAATAATCACACTAGTCATCCCAATCTGCATATCTATGACCCTTTAGAGTTCATACTAATCTAGCAGTATTCCCTAAATGCCATGCGCTTTTCCCCTGCCCCGCTTTATGTTTTTCCAGAACCCTGGAAAAGCCAGTCTCTTCAATCTTGTCCAGCTACCTCCTCCATAAAGACCTCCTGGCTCTGACCACTTGAAATGAATGTGGCTCTCCTGAAAGTTCTCCTGGCAATGTGTTTGCTTGCCCAGTGTAAGCACTTCTCACACTCACTCTGAGCCATGGCATATTGTTGGCATGCCTGTCTCCGCCACAGTCGATGTACAGAAAGCCTTCATGGCTCACCCACACTCTGAATGTGGCAATTAATTATGCTATTGAAGCTAGCGCTGCATGGAGACATGAGCATTCTGCAAGTCACCCTCAAATATCTGAACCTTCTCAAGGCATAGCAGGAAGAATAGAATTCAGATCGGATCAAGACCTTCCTCGGTGTCTGCACTTTTCTCAATGGTATTAATGTAGGTGGAAAAAATGTATATGCACAAGCAGGATCTGCATGGTCCTTGGAAAAGGAAATGCCAAAGCCAAGTTGGAGACCCTGCATTGGATTAGTTCTGTCATGGTTTTCCACGTTGAATAAGATATTACTCAAGAATCCCTGTGCCCTTGCCTGAGTCCATGACTGAAGTTCTCCGATGAAGAATTCAGCCTGGAGGAGCCAAGATGGCCGAATAGGAACAGCTCCGGTCTACAGCTCCCAGCGTGAGCGACGCAGAAGACGGGTGATTTCTGCATTTCTGTCTGAGGTACCGGGTTCATCTCACTAGGGAGTGCCAGACAGTGGGCGCAGGTCAGTGGGTGCACGCACCGTGCACGAGCCGAAGCAGGGCGAGGCATTGCCTCACTTGGGAAGCGCAAGGGGTCAGGGAGTTCCCTTTCCGAGTCAAAGAAAGGGGTGACGGACGCACCTGGAAAATCGGGTCACTCCAACCCGAATATTACGCTTTTCAGACCGGCTTAAAAAACGGCGCACCACGAGATTATATCCTGCACCTGGCTCAAGGGTCCTATGCCCACGGAGTCTCGCTGATTGATAGCACAGCAGTCTGAGATCAAACTGCAAGGCGGCAGCGAGGCTGGGGGAGGGGCGCCCATCATTGCCCAGGCTTGCTTAGGTAAACAAAGCAGCCAGGAAGCTCGAACTGGGTGGAGCCCACCACAGCTCAAGGAGGCCTGCCTGCCTCTGTAGGCTCCACCTCTGGGGGCAGGGCACAGACAAACAAAAAGACAGCAGTAACCTCTGCAGACTTAAATGTCCCTGTCTGACAGCTTTGAAGAGAGCAGTGGTTCTCCCAGCACACAGCTGGAGATCTGAGAACGGGCAGACTGCCTCCTCAAGGGGGTCCCTGAACCCTGACCCCCGACCCCTGAGCAGCCTAACTGGGAGGCACCCCCCAGCAGGGGCACACTGACACCTCACACGGCAGGGTATTCCAACAGACCTGCAGCTGAGGGTCCTGTCTGTTCGAAGGAAAACTAACAAACAGAAAGGACATCCACACCAAAAACCCATCTGTACATCACCATCATCAAAGACCAAAAGTAGATAAAACCACAAAGATGGGGAAAAAACAGAACAGAAAAACTGGAAACTCTAAAACGCAGAGCGCCTCTCCTCCTCCAAAGGAACGCAGTTCCTCACCAGCAATGGAACAAAGCTGGATGGAGAATGACTTTCACGAGCTGAGAGAAGAAGGTTTCAGACGATCAAATTACTCTGAGCTACGGGAGGACATTCAAACCAAAGGCAAAGAAGTTGAAAACTTTGAAAAAAATTTAGAAGAATGTATAACTAGAATAACCAATACAGAGAAGTACTTAAAGGAGCTGATGGAACTGAAAACCAAGGCTCGAGAACTACGTGAAGAATGCAGAAGCCTCAGGAGCCGATGCGATCAACTGGAAGAAAGGGTATCAGCAATGGAAGATGAAATGAATGAAATGAAGCAAGAAGGGAAGTTTAGAGAAAAAAGAATAAAAAGAAATGAGCAAAGCCTCCAAGAAATATGGGACTATGTGAAAAGACCAAATCTACGTCTGATTGGTGTACCTGAAAGTGACGGGGAGAATGGAACCAAGTTGGAAAACACTCTTCAGGATATTATCCAGGAGAACTTCCCCAATCTAGCAAGGCAGGCCAACGTTCAGATTCAGGAAATACAGAGAACGCCACAAAGATACTCCTCGAGAAGAGCAACTCCAAGACACGTAATTGTCAGATTCACCAAAGTTGAAATGAAGGAAAAAATGTTAAGGGCAGCCAGAGAGAAAGGTCAGGTTACCCTCAAAGGGAAGCCCATCAGACTAACAGCTGATCTCTCGGCAGAAACCCTACAAGCCAGAAGAGAGTGGGGGCCAATATTCAACATTCTTAAAGAAAAGAATTTTCAACCCAGAATTTCATATCCAGCCAAACTAAGCTTCATAAGTGAAGGAGAAATAAAATACTTTACAGACAAGCAAATGCTGAGAGATTTTGTCACCACCAGGCCTGCCCTAAAAGAGCTCCTGAAGGAAGCGCTAAACATGGAAAGGAACAACCGGTACCAGCCACTGCAAAATCATGCCAAAATGTAAAGACCATCGAGACTACGAAGAAACTGCATCAACTAACGAGCAAAATCACCAGCTAACATCATAATGACAGGATCAAATTCACACATAACAATATTAGCTTTAAACGTCAATGGACTAAATGTGCCAATTAAAAGACACAGACTGGCAAATTGGATAAAGAGTCAAGACCCATCAGTGTGCTGTATTCAGGAAACCCATCTCACGTGCAGAGACACACATAGGCTCAAAATAAAAGGATGGAGGAAGATCTACCAAGCCAATGGAAAACAAAAAAAGGCAGGGGTTGCAATCCTAGTGTCTGATAAAACAGACTTTAAACCAACAAAGATCAAAAGAGACAAAGAAGGCCATTACATAATGGTAAAGGGATCAATTCAACAAGAAAAGCTAACTATCCTAAATATATATGCACCCAATACAGGAGCACCCAGATTCATAAAGCAAGTCCTTAGAGACCTACAAAGAGACTTAGACTCCCACACATTAATAATGGGAGACTTTAACACCCCACTGTCAACATTAGACAGATCAACGAGACAGAAAGTCAACAAGGATACCCAGGAATTGAACTCAGCTCTGCACCAAGCGGACCTAATAGACATCTACAGAACTCTCCACCCCAAATCAACAGAATATACATTTTTTTCAGCACCACACCACACCTATTCCAAAATTGACCACATACTTGGAAGTAAAGCTCTCCTCAGCAAATGTAAAAGAACAGAGATTATAACAAACTATCTCTCAGACCACAGTGCAATCAAACTAGAACTCAGGATTAAGAATCTCACTCAAAACCGCTCAACTACATGGAAACTGAACAACCTGCTCCTGAATGACTACTGAATACATAATGAAATGAAGGCAGAAATAAAGATGTGCTTTGAAACCAATGAGAACGAAGACACAACATACCAGAATCTCTGGGACACATTCAAAGCAGTGTGTAGAGGGAAATTTATAGCACTAAATGCCCACAAGAGAAAGCAGGAAAGATCCAAAATTGACACCCTAATATCACAATTAAAAGAACTAGAAAAGCAAGAGCAAACACATTCAAAAGCTAGCAGAAGGCAAGAAATAACTAAGATCAGAGCAGAACTGAAGGAAATAGAGATACAAAAAACCCTTCAAAAAATTAATGAATCCAGGAGCTGGTTTTTTGAAAGGATCAACAAAATTGATAGACCGCTAGCAAGACTAATAAAGAAAAAAAAAAGAGAAGAATCAAATAGACACAATAAAAAATGATAAAGGGGATATCACCACTGATCCCACAGAAATACAAACTACCATCAGAGAATACTACAAACACCTCTATGCAAATAAACTACAAAATCTAGAAGAAATGGATAAATTCCTCGACACATACACTCTCCCAAGACTAAACCAGGAAGAAGTTGAATCTCTGAATAGACCAATAACAGGAGCTGAAATTGTGGCAATAGTCAATAGTTTACCAACCAAAAAGAGTCCAGGACCACATGGATTCACAGCCGAATTCTATCAGAGGTACAAGGAGGAACTGGTACCATTCCGTCTGAAACTATTCCAATCAATAGAAAAAGAGGGAATCCTCCCTAACTCATTTTATGAGGCCAGCATCATTCTGATACCAAAGCCAGGCAGAGACACAACCAAAAAAGAGAATTTTAGACCAATATCCTTGATGAACATTGATGCAAAAATCCTCAATAAAATACTGGCAAAACGAATCCAGCAGCACATCAAAAAGCTTATCCACCATGACCAAGTGGGCTTCATCCCTGGGATGCAAGGCTGGTTCAATATACACAAATCAATAAATGTAATCCAGCATATAAACAGAGCCAAAGACAAAAACCACATGATTATCTCAATAGATGCAGAAAAAGCCTTTGACAAAATTCAACAACCCTTCATGCTAAAAACTCTCAATAAATTAGGTATTGATGGAACGTATTTCAAAATAATAAGAGCTATCTATGACAAACCCACAGTCAATATCATACTGAATGGGCAAAAACTGGAAGCATTCCCTTTGAAAACTGACACAAGACAGGGATGCCCTCTCTCATCACTCCTATTCAACATAGTGTTGGAAGTTCTGGCCAGGGCAATTAGGCAGGAGAAGGAAATAAAGGGTATTCAATTAGGAAAAGAGGAAGTCAAATTGTCCCTGTTTGCAGACGACATGATTGTATATCTAGAAAAACCCATTGTTTCAGCCCAAAATCTCCTTAAGCTGATAAGCAACTTCAGCAAAGTCTCAGGATACAAAATCAATGTATAAAAATCACAAGCATTCTTATACACCAATAACAGACAAACAGAGAGCCAAATCATGAGTGAACTCCCATTCACAATTGCTTCAAAGAGAATAAAATACCTAGGAATCCAACTTACAAGGGATGTGAAGGACCTCTTCAAGGAGAACTACAAACCACTGCTCAAGGAAATAAAAGAGGATACAAACAAATGGAAGAACATTCCATGCTCATGGGTAGGAAGAATCAATATCGTGAAAATGGCCATACTGCCCAAGGTAATTTACAGATTCAATGCCATCCCCATAAAGCTACCAATGACTTTCTTCACAGAATTGGAAAAAACTACTTTAAAGTTCATATGGAACCAAAAAAGAGCCCACATCGCCAAGGCAATCCTAAGCCAAAAGAACAAAGCTGGAGGCATCACACTACCTGACTTCAAGCTATACTACAAGGCTACAGTAACCAAAACAGCATGGTACTGGTATCAAAACAGAGATATAGATCAATGGAACAGAACAGAGCCCTCAGAAATAACGCCGCATATCTACAACTATCTGATCTTTGACAAACCTGAGAAAAACAAGCAATGGGGAAAGGATTCCCTATTTAATAAATGGTGCTGGGAAAACTGGCTAGCCATATGTACAAAGCTGAAACTGGATCCCTTCCTTATACCTTATACAAAAATCAATTCAAGATGGATTAAAGACTTAAACGTTAGACCTAAAACCATAAAAACCCTAGAAGAAAACCTAGGCATTACCATTCAGGACATAGGCATGGGCAAGGACTTCATGTCCAAAACACCAAAAGCAATGGCAACAAAAGCCAAAATTGACAAATGGGATCTAATTAAACTAAAGAGCTTCTGCACAGCAAAAGAAACTACCATCAGGGTGAACAGGCAACCTACAAAATGGGAGAAAATTTTCGCAACCTACTCATCTGACAAAGGGCTAATATCCAGAATCTACAATGAACTCAAACAAATTTACAAGAAAAAAACAAACAACCCCATCAAAAAGTGGGCGAAGGACATGAACAGACACTTCTCAAAAGAAGACATTTATGCAGCCAAAAAACACATGAAAAAATGCTCACCATCACTGGCCATCAGAGAAATGCAAATCAAAACCACAATGAGATACCATCTCACACCAGTTAGAATGGCAATCATTAAAAAGTCAGGAAACAACAGGTGCTGGAGAGGATGTGGAGAAATAGGAACACTTTTACACTGTTGGTGGGACTGTAAACTAGTTCAACCATTGTGGAAGTCAGTGTGGCGATTCCTCAGGGATCTAGAACTGGAAATACCATTTGACCCAGCCATCCCATTACTGGGTATATACCCAAAGGACTATAAATCATGCTGCTATAAAGACACATGCACACGTATGTTTATTGCGGCATTATTCACAATAGCAAAGACTTGGAACCAACCCAAATGTCCAACAATGATAGACTGGATTAAGAAAATGTGGCACATATACACCATGGAATACTATGCAGCCGTAAAAAATGATGAGTTCATGTCCTTTGTAGGGACATGGATGAAACTGGAAATCATCATTCTCAGTAAACTATCGCAAGAACAAAAAACCAAACACCGCATATTCTCACTCATAGGTGGGAATTGAACAATGAGATCACATGGACACAGGAAGGGGAATATCACACTCTGGGGACTGTGGTGGGGTGGGGGGAGGGGGGAGGGATAGCATTGGGAGATATACCTAATGCTAGATGACGAGTTAGTGGGTGCAGCGCACCAGCATGGCACATGTATACATATGTAACTAACCTGCACAATGTGCACATGTACCCTAAAACTGAAAGTATAATAATAAAAATAAATAAGTAAATAAATAAGAAAAAAAAAAAAAAGAATTCAGCCTCCCAGATGTTTTGTTGAAGAAAAAGTAACTGTGCCATTGTAAATAAACACATAATAATCTAAGTTACACATCACTCCCCTGTGAGATTTGTTCATGTAAATAAGTCCTTGAGAACCTTAGGAGAAAAAAAAAAAAAAAAACCCTAACTGCCCTGACCTGGCAAAGTCAAACTTGAAGTCCTAGACATCAAAGAACTGGATCTGAGAAAGACTACACATCAAAGAAGTGGCTGACCCACCCACCTACCTGACAGCAACGGGTTTTCCTCCCTCTATTCAAAATGCATGTGGATGATCATAACAGAAAACGGGACCTGCATGTCTCCCAAACACCAAGAGGCTGTTGGGGAAGGGCTCTGCAGCTGGGGTTTCAAGGGGCCCAAGACTATCCCCAATCATCTCTGCCTTCCTTTCAGGAGGTAGAATCTGAGCTTTATTTCTCGCTAGGCCTGTAACTGCTTTGACCAGTAAAAATGTGGAGAAGCACCATCCTGAGACTTGCAAGCCCAGGCACTGAGAAAGCCTGACCACTTCTAATTCTTTCTCTTGGAGCCCCAGGCTGACCATGTGAAAAGTCTAGCATAGAGAAAGAGGCCAATGTGGAGAAGCCCCAGAGGTCCAGATGCCACATGGAGCAGCACAAGTATCCAGCACCATCTTCAAAGTGAAAAGGCACTGGCCTGCTGAGCCCCAGTCAACCCAAGAGTCACGGTTGTTGTTTAAACCACTAAGTTTTGGGAGTGGTTCTTGAGGCAGAGATAGTTCATCAAAAGCCCATCCAAGGCTGGGCACGGTGGCTCACGCCTGTAATCCCAGCACTTTGGGAAGCTGAGGCAGGCAGATCACAAGGTCAGGAGATTGAGACCATCCTGGCTAACACAGTGAAACCCCATCTCTACTAAAAATACAAAAAATTAGCCGGGCATGGTGGTGGGTGCCTGTAGTCCCAGCTACTCGGGAGGCTGAGGCAGGAGAATGGTGTGAACCCAGGGAGGTGGAGCTTGCAGTGAGCGGAGATCACACCACTGCACTCCAGCCTGGGCGACAGAGCGAGACTCTGTCTCAGAAAAAAAAAAAGAACCCATCCAATGCCATCCCCGCTGACCTTCCATACACAAGACTAACAAGTATTTACTGAGTTGGGTGAGTTCGAAGCCTTGCTCTCTAGACCTCATTGGATTCTATCAACAGTGTCCTGTATAAGGCCTGTTATAAAGGTGATATAGTTTAGCTTTGTGTCCCCACCCAAATCTCACCTTGAATTGTAATAATCCCCACGTGTTGTGGAAGGGACCCAGTGGGATGTAATTTAATCACGGGGGTGGGTTTTTCCCATGCTGTTCTCATGATAGTGAAATAAGTCTCGTTACATCTGATGGTTTTATAAAGGGGAGTTCCCCTGCACCTACTCTCTTGCCTGCCACCATGTAAGACATGACTTTCTCCTCCTTTGCCTTCTGACATGACTGTGAGGTTTCCCCAGGCATCGTGGACCTGTGAGTTCATTAAACCTCTTTTTCTTCATAAATTACCCAGTCTCACGTATGTCTTTTTTAACAGCATGAGTACTGACTAGTACAAAAGATAAGAATCAAATTGATACTGGTTAAACAACTTGCCCATATTGCACAGCCATTTAGAAGGAAATAGAACTAAATATACCTCAAACACGGATGCCTGTGTTGTTTCTCCAGTGGCCTGGCCCAGCCCTGATGCTTCTCTCAGGCTCTCTGTCTGGTCTGGCACAAAATCCTTTTATGAATATTCAGTATTGTACACTAAAAGATTTTCTCAGAACAGACACCAAAAAAAGTCATAAATGCAAGGACAGCTTCTCCTACTCTGTAGTCCACATAGCTTCTAACGCAGCTACTGAGCACACAGTGGGGAACTAATAAATGCCTGCTGTTTAAAACACAGATCCATTGATTACAATAAAAATAGAGTGGATTGAAAATTTTCAGAAATGTGACTTGCACCAAGATTTGTCACTTGCGAGTTTGCTCTAGTCAACCTTTTTGCAGAGGCTTGGTGTGGAAAGAACTATTTCCATATATTTCATAGATTAATTTAATTGAGTCTCTGATGGATGAAGTGAGTAGTCGTGAAAATTTATTCAACTTCCGAAATCTCCTGGAAGAGGAGCCACCAGATCACAGGCCCAGATCACCCTTCCCACGCTAGTTTTGCCCTGAAGGAAATAGCCTGAGACTGGGGCTGCATATCCCTAGCTATTTAATTAAATTGACAGTCAGTTATTTTTTCTTAATCAATGCTGTAGTTATGTCAGCTCCAAAAGCCTGCCATCCCTCTTCCAGCTTGGCAGGGTAAGAAAAAGCACAGCCAATTCATATAAAAGGACTTCTGTGACATATGTCCCCAAGTGGGACAGAAGATAACAGTTCCAATCTCCTTCTACCGTGAACTTCATCTGGGGTCTGGAGTAAATCAAGACTAAAGTGTACATATTTATTAAGCGCGTGCTGTGAGTGCAACACTCTGCTTGCTAAGTATTATCGGAAATGGCAATAATAAAAACATCTAGTATATATTATGCTTATCAGACAGGAAAACACTTTCTCATACAAACTCAGTCTTCATAACTTTTCTGAGAAACAGATACACTGATCACTGTTTTGTGGAAAACGGAGGCTGTAGAAGGCTATGTGATATGCCCATGGTTACGGACCCATTATTTCATGGCACCAAGACTTTAGGAGGACATTGTGATTCCAAGTTTATTATTCTTTCCAGGATGTGATGAATTGGCAGATGAACAATGTGTAATAGAATCAATATAGTGTGGATGGAACAGCCTGTCATCTGGGGGACCTGGTTAGGCTTCTGGGATATGTGCAGGATTTGGAATACTGGCCCCGAGTGTGTCTGAGAACAGTGGGCACAGGGCTTCCTCATAGAGACAGAGACCTGCCTCCTGTCTGCAGAGTAGTCTGGAATGTCCTTCAGGCTTTCACCTCCCCTGGGCACTGCATCCTTACAGTAAGCAAGGGGATGCTGTGGTTATCCCCTTGGTGCAGAGGAAGACCTAGACCTGTGTACAGGTCATCCAAAGCTGCCCAGGCTGCTGCCACTCCAGCAGCTGCCTCCCAAGCCATGCAACTATATGCTGAGTTTTTTTTTTTTTTTAAAGAGTCTCAGGGACTGAGTGATACAGCCATGTCAAATACATATTCTCCATTTCCCTGCGGACCTCTGCCCCAGAGCATACTGCCTCCTACATCCAGGCAATAGTGTCTAATGGGAAGAGCAATAGCTGTAGGGTCAGGGAACCTGGATTCAATTCCTGAGTGGCCGTTTTAAAACACTGCCATAAATTCTTTGACACTCATCCTACTGAAAGATGGGGTCTGTGTGTCCCCTATGTTTGACATGGGACCAACTTGTGACTGTCTTAACCAATAGAGTTAGAAGGAAGGTGATACTCCTAACTTGGTGGTTTGCTAGGTCAGGAGAGGCCTTGCAACTCCTGCCTTGGTCCTCAGGATGCTTGGTCCCTGACGGTCCCACCATGTGGGGATAAGCCCACGTTTGCATATAGAGGCCACATGTAGGTGCTCTGGGCAACAGTCCAAGCTGAACCCAGCTTTCCAAACATCCCACTTCAGGGATCAGCCCCCACTCAAGTCACCTACAGTCATGGGAATTCTTGTTGGCACAGAGACAAGACATCCTCACTGTGCCCTCCCCAGACTCCTAACCCACAGAATCTGTGAGCATAATAAAATGATGGTGGTTTTTATGTCACTAAGTTTTGAGATGGTTTGTTATACAGCAAAGAAAACTTTGCTGTAAAACATCTTGCTTCCAGGTACCAACTGTGTTTTAAAATTCAAGAGCCCCTTCTTTTTTAGAAAAAAAAAAGTCCTGCCTCACATGATGCTGTCAAGACTAAATGACACAGAGAATGTGGATCACTAGGCACAGTGCACAGCACAGGACCAGCCCCTACAAGTGTGAGGTTCCAAGCAAGCTGAGAAAGGGACTTAAATTGGTCCTGAAAAGTATGGCACATTTCCCATCTTGTCAGGTAACCACCCTCACACTCTCCCAGGGTTCAGACTGCATGGGTTAGGCCTTCCCCGCCCACCTCCTCTCAGCAGATTGCCTGGTGGGACGAGAGGCAGCCCCAGCAGAGAGGAGTGTTTTCATGTCTGACATCCGCTGCCCTCTGGACAGTCTGATCTTGCTAACTGTGGGAGGCAATGGTGGGAGGCAGCTCCATGCAGCAGCCTTGGCCAAAGCCCACTGGACTCCCACAGTGACTCAGCACAGAGTGGCTGCCCACATTCATTATCATCACCAAGTAGGGGGGCTTTGGCACCTCCTCAGCCAGCACTTCTCTCTACATTGAATTCTGCATGAGTCTCATGATCAAAGTTCAAGTGTGACAGGCACATGTATACACAGAGAGGCTCAGAGCTAAGGAAATAATTCTCTGTGTGGGTCTCTTTCTTTCTGAGGACCAGCACAAGGATAGTCCTTCCAAGATGAGAGGAGATTCCAAGCATCCTAGGAGGTGATAATTATCTTCCTGCCCCTACAGGTCTGGGCCTGCAAGAGGACAAGAGGGGAAGGACAGCTCCCTCTCCATACGTGACCAGATGGAACCCTGCCGCACACGCTTTAAGGCCTGGCTCGCAACTCATGAATGCACTGTGCATGCTCCCCACATACAAGTCTCTTACTCTTACAAAACTGTGAATGTTTGCTTGCAGACTAAAAACTAACTCAGAAGTAAAACTAAATCAGAGAAACCATTCTACTGAGAAAAAAAAATTTAAAGATTAGTTAATACAATACAGCCATCTCATAAATACACATCTATAGGAATGTCATAAATATCTGTGTGCCATTATTCCCATTTTAGAATCTGAGAAGATAGGGATCCCCGAAAGACAGTGGATCATATGTCAAAATCATCAAAATTCAGAGCAGAAAAGATCATAAGAGCATGTTCGGTTCCTTTCCTACTGTTCTGACTACAGATGAGGAAACAGACTCTGGCCTGCAAGAGATAACCAAACCTCAAAATATATGGAAACAATGTTTTAGACAAGCTTCTTTCCATTGTCATATTCCTGGCCATGTGTGGCTTTGAAATGACTCTAGAAGTTTTGGCCAAATATTCACACACCTAGAGCTTTGTAGGGAGCTCTATTCAATAGTATGTTTTTCTGATGGTCTAATCAACAACAACGACAAAGATAATTTCAGAAAATCAGTGCTCTGATGAGCATATAAAGGGTGATGTTACAGAGGGTACCAGGGCAAGGTAAGGTTAGGGATGCTATAGATAATGGTCAAGAAAGGTTTATTTGATTTATCAGCTCTCGTGAGACTTGGGCCTCTTCCTAGGCTGGCATTTAGGAAGGAGAAGGCCATGTTCAGTTCAAGCACCAAGATCATGAAGCCCAATGGTGAGAAGCCAGACAAGTTCAAGTCCAGCATCTCCAGGGTCTTCTGGAGCTGAAGATGAACTTGGATCTCAAGGCTCAGCTCAGGGAGCTGAAAATAACAGCAGTCAAGAAACCTGAAGTTGATGGTGGTCAGGAAGCTTATTATAATCATTGTTCCCATTCCTCAGCTGAGTTCTTTCCAGAAAATTCAAGTCCAGATAGTACATGAATTGGAGAAAAAGTTCGGTGGGAAGCATGCTGTATTTATTGCTCAGAGGAGAACTCTGCCTATGCCGACTTGAAAAAAATGATACAAAAAATAAGCAAAAGTATCCCAGGATCTGCACCCTAACAGCCACACATGATGCAATCCTTGAAGACTTGGTCTGCCCAAGTGAAATTGGGAGCAAAAGAATCTGTGTGAAACCGGCTAGCATTCAGCTCAGGAAAGTTCATCGGGACAAAGCACAGCAGAACCACGTGGGGCACAAGGTTGAAACTTTTTCTGGTGTCTACAAAGATCTCCTGGGCAAAGGTGTTAATTGTGAATTTCCAGAGTTTCCACTATAAACAAAAATGACTAAAGTATATTCGCATTTAGAAGAAGAAAGGTTTATCTGAAGAAAGGACATTTGAGCAAATCTGCAGAATGAGACAGACCTAAACACGTGAAGAACTCTCCATGCAGAGGGAGCTGCCAGTGCTGAAGGCCTGAGACAGGGAAGGGCCAGTGCTCATGAACAGGGGGAGGGTGGTTTGAGACCAGGATGCAGGTAAGCTGGGCCAGATCTTATAAATCCCCGTAGGCCACAGTAAGATGTTTGCACCTCATTCCCAGTGCAGTGGGAAGCTGCTGAACTCTAAGTGATGTGGCCTTATTCACAGAATGCCAGCTACAGAGTGGAAAATGTACAGAAAGATGCAAGGCCAGGTAGGCACAGAGAAATCAGTGAAGAGGGCCACGCAGTAGTCCCAGAAACAGAGATGGTTTGGACCAGAGTAGTATCCACGGAAACGAAGAGGCAGTCGTGCTCTGCCGGATAATGACCACCATCAGCACCCACTGAGGAAAGACAAAGGCTGTCTACCCCTTCTCCACCAGGAAGGGAGTAATGGCTGCCCCTCCAGCATCTCCAACAGGTGCAATTCAGGTCAGCATGGAGGAGGCCCACTCCCCACTGAGGCAGCCCATCTAGGGACAACATGGGGCTTTTCCATTTAGCCAAAAACCAAATGCCAGCAATTATTCATATTCTAATCATCTACCTTATTGATGTGCAACCCACTCAAGAGTGGTCAAGTAGTAGTAACCAATATAATACTGATTTCTTCCACCAAGGAGCAGATGCAGTCATTCACTGATATTTCATGGGGTGGTGGCACGTGGACTGTCATGGAAGCCTGGGTTCTGCTCAAACAGGTCTGTTTTCAGTCCCATCTTAATCAGACAGTTGCCCTTGCTGAGAGAGAATCTCCCCCATCACCCTGTGGAGTAAAGAAGGCACTATCCCCAGAATCTAGCAGCAGAATTGGCTGGTGGGTGGACAAAGAAAGCAGGCATGTTCAGAGCCACACCAAGGAGCAAGGCAGTGGTCGTGAGGCCAGCTCATGAGTGAGTGTGTGAGCAGAAAGGGCCTCCCTCCAAAGCCGGAACGTGGGCAAGAACATGAACTCTGGGTGAAATGACACAGAGTCAGAGGATCTTCCGTAAATCATAAAGACCCACAGGCAGCAAAGGTCCAGACCAGTGTGCTCACCACAGGCCAAGAGCCACAGGGATGACACACTGCAACTTGGATAACCTGAAAACAGAAGTCCTACTGGACCTGAGGGAACACTGCTCAGTCAGCCACGCCTGTCTGATGGTTTTCCCCCTGCCTGGGTGAGCAAGAATTAGAGGCTGGCTTCAGATCTCCTCCAGCCTTCCCTATCAATTGCCATGAAAATGTAAAGGAAATAGCAGCTGCTATTCCTCTCAAGGTATGCAGACTTCTAACACCAGAAGATATAAAAATAAGGTTGCCCTTTCGGGTTAAGCCACCACACACACTATAACAGGCCATGTGGGAACGAACCAGGCAAATTTGATCAGAGAATATGCAAACCGCCAAACTCTCCCCAAGGTGCCCTGCGTACAGCCTCAAGGAGAAGCAGCAGTGATTGTAGTTTCCTGAGCAGAAACCGAGTGGTTTGCGTTGTTCCCACTTTGGAGAAGTCCTATGAGCAGGAGGGGATGAAAACTCAGTGCATTCACGATAAAAGGTGGACACGGTAAGCACCCAGGCCAGCCCAGGGGAAGGCTGTCTTGACCCCCTACACTCACACCCTCCCCGGCGGAGTCGCATCCCCCGTGAGGTGGTGATGAGGGCCTGTGGCTCACTTAGTCAAATGCCATGTCTCACCTCGGGGTAATTCAGGACTTCCCAAGAAATGATGAAGGCAGTGTCTTCACACAGTGTTCAAGTGTACCACCTAGAAAAAGAGAAACAGGCATCATAAACAGTGGTGAAAAGAAACCTGTAAGCCTGCAGCGATTTAGAGATCCACTGTCAGCAGTTGCTGAGGAAGAGAATCAGTCTTCTATGAGGAGCTCCGCTGGTACCTGCTGCCTATCAAGGGTCTGGGAATCACATCGGGAGAATCCTCTGTACCCAGGGCTCTGTTGTCCATCTCAGGTGTAATTTTGAGCAATGACATTGTAGGGAGGAAATATGACAACGGCCCCACAGTGGCTAATTTATCACGCAGCATGACCTACTGACAGTTTCAGCCGTGTGAAATCTATGGCAAAACATAGCCAAAGCAGAGGTTTTTTAATGTAACATTAATCACGTGGAACATTTCTGAAAAGAGCTAAAAGAAATGACTAGCATAGACAAGTCTTTTGAAGCTGGTGGGTTCAAGGAATGAGTAGACTGTCACTGCACTGGGATCTATGGAAATTCAGACATTCAGAGGAAAGAAACTTTTCAACTCCAATGTGGAATGAGACGCCTGTCATTCCAAAACCACCTCCCAGCGCCAAGGACTTACAATACCCTCTCCTGTTTATTCCCTCTGGCCGCTCTCTCTCCACGACTATAAGCTCTTTGAAGAAAGCTTCTTGTTTTATTCATTCTTTCCAGCTTCTAGAGCAAGTGCTTGATAAACGCTTGCTAACTTGAAGCAGATTCTGGTAATAAAACTGCTCTAACTTCATCCACAGGAACTTCCAGGCCTCTTCCTGATAGCCCTTAATGGTTCCAGGAGGAGCTGCAACCTCTTCAACCGTGTGAAGAGGGAGCAGCTAGAAAACCCTGAACTTATTGCAGAGGACGGTGTCGCTGGAGGAGCCCAGCTCTGAGCCAGGTGCGACGCAGGGGGCAGCAGAACATACCAAGTCGACTAAGCACGTAGCAAGTCGACTCTAATCCTGGTCAGCCACCCACATGGCTCACCACCCACATGGCTAAGCTATGTTGTTTCACGATGCAACACCTCAGTGTCTCTGTCTCTCAAATGGGTAGATAAAAAGCTCATTCCTTCCAGAAAAAGGTCTGCCAAAGACAGCAACATATAGGATTCCAAGCACTACACAGAAGATAAAACACAGGTTTTGCTCTTGGCCCTACGTTTTTTGGCAAGACAACTGGTCTCTGGCACACTATTTTCTCCTGAGAAAAGAGAGGGTCTTTTCCTCTTCTACTCCTCTATAAATCCATAGATATGGAAAACATACCTATTTTTAGGTGATATCTTGTGTATTTTTTAAGTTGTTTTACGCACATTATAGAAACCCTTCCCATTTAACACCTTAAAAAATAACTGGGTTTGCAAAATTTCCTGATGAAATGTGTATAATTAAATGCACTTGTGAACACTGTGATTACGGTACTGAGGCAAGATGATTTCCCCACTATTTCAATAACAGTTGGAAATAATTAAGTACTTCCTACAACATGGAAATGTACAGTTTTATATCTCAAAATGCTAGTACTTTAACAGATTCAAACAGTTGTTGCCCCTTGGAGCTTACTACATATGTTAAAGTATTATTCTTCTGATTATCATGCCATGATTATAATGTATTCCATTTAGCACTGTAGATTGTATTTGCTGAGCAGTTCTAGATAATTTTTTACTCATCCAGTCAGTGGTTCTTATACAGCACCTGAGCAAAAAGTTAAAGACAAAATGTAAGCTTTTCATCTAAATAGACTTTATTTTCAATACTTAAAGCTAAGCCTCATTCTGCCTGAACAGAGCTGGCATGGCTTAATTCCTTTTGTCACAATCTCCCTGGATAATAATTCCTTAATTGCTTCTTAGATGGAAATATTAATCATGGGGCGGCCTTTAATAAGACCAAAATTATGGTGTTTCTTATCTCCAAAGGTTAATGGGAAAAAAATGATTCTTCTCTTCCTTTCTTCTCTGTCCTGATACACAGATTGTGTGGCACTAATCAGTTTTCCCCTTTAAATTATATTTAAGCTAATGTGTCATTTATCCTCAGAGATTCTGAGTTCCTTGAGGAAGGAAATTGTGTCTGATTTATGTGTGAATTTGCCACAGAATCTAGATCCAATAACTGACACAACCCGATTGCATACAAACACAACTGATTTATGTCAACTTGGGAGATCGCCTTGACAATTTTGTCACTGCACCTGCCTGATTGTGTGATGGTTGTTCATTTGCCTGGCTGTTCAATAGACTGGTTTGAAGGAGAGGGTGGCTTAAGAGTTAATTATTCTCTAATAGTAATTAAACCTCAACCTTGTGATTGATTCTGTGCTCAGCACTGTTTCCTGCCCTCCCTCAACTTACAATATGTTGGGAGAAGCTACATTATTAAAAAGATAAATTAACAAAACAAACTACAAAGCACTGTAACAGTAGAAACAGTATGTCTCTCCTACGGATCCTGCCCAAAGTGGCCCTCTTAATTTGACAAGTGTGTGGAGAGTTTACATTCATTGTGCCAGTGTAACGGTATAAGAAACCCCTTTGTAGCACTATTCAATCTGTAGATGCTTAAGACCTCTGGTGTAAAAAATTGTTCTCAGAGGAGAAGAGAAAATCAATTTGCATAAATGAGGGGTCAACTGGTCTCCCAACCTTGGAAAGTGAGGCAAGTGCCATACACGCAGAACCACTTCCAGGGTTCTGGGGGTAAACATGGCAAGTAGAAGTTTGCTTTGCTCTTAAGTTTGCTGAAGATATAGGGCAGGATTTTTGCAGTATATGTTGCAGGGACTTCACTGAAACACAAGAAACAGCTTGGGATAAGCTGATTTAGAGAACTATCTAGATGAGACGATCAATGTGGGCTGCAGGGCAGGGAATAGGCCCTATATTACAAAAGTGTAAGATCAAGATAGACGAATAAGCAGCTAAAAAGAAAACAAAAACCAGCCAAGAGACAGACAGTGTGCATGTGTGGGTGGGTGGGTGTATGGGTGTTAAAATTTAAGATTCAACAAATATAGAAAGGAAGGAAATTGCCAACATTTTGTGTTGGTTATAAATTTGGAAAACATAATAACTTTGAGTTTCTCCTTAAATCATATTTTAAATAAACTCTAAATGTATTACAGAGCTACAAATTAAGATATTAAATTCCAATTATAGAAAAAGAAGACTGTAAAATTGAATATCAAGTATGTAAATTTCTTGTATGTAATAGAAAAAAATCACAAAGAATAGATCATCAGATTTAATTATATACAATTAAAGTTTTTGCATAGCTAAAGAAACCAAAATAAAAAGGCAGATGAGAAAAGAAATGCTTCTGTAAATATACCTTCAGAGAAAAAGAGGAGGTAATGATTTTATTCTGTGAGGAACAAAGGAACTTCAATTTAAAAAGAAAAACAAAGAGCAGATGAATAAGGAAACTATTCTCAAAAAATGAAAGATTATCATTATTATATTATTCTAATATTATTAAATAACATTTAACAATGATTACTGCCTGGAATTATGCTAAATGTTGCATATATATTACTCTGAGTCTTTCTTGCAAAAACTACCTGATAATGGATTCAGTTCCCAACAAATGATCAAAATTAAAAACCAGATATGAAAAGTTGTGATAAAAGATTAGTGGTGATTAATCTATTTAAATATGGAACTAAAATTAAACAATTGTGGAATTTAAACTAGAATGTGCAGGTCAGCACTGTGACTCACACCTGTAATCCCAGCACTTTGGGAGGCCGAGGCAGGCAGATCGCTTGAGGTCAGGAGTTCAAGACCAGCCTAACCAACATGGCGAAACCCCATCTCTACTAAAAATACAAAAATTAGCTGGGCGTGTTGACACAAGTCTGTAATCCCAGCAATTTGGAAGGCCTTCAAGGCGGGCAAATCACTTGAGGCCAGGAGTTTGAGACCAACTTGGCCAATATGGTGAAACTCCATCTCTACTAAAAATACAAAAATTAGTTGGGCGTGTTGGCACAAACCTGTAATCCCAGCACTTTGGGAGTCCAAGGTGGGCAGATCACTTTAGCCAGGAGTTTGAGACCAGCCTAGCTAATATGGTGAAACCACATCTCCACTAAAAATACGAAAATTAGCTGGATGTGGTGGCACACGCCTGTAATCCCAGCTACTCAAGAGGCTGAGGCAGGAGAATTGTTTGAACTTAGGAGGTGGAGGTTGTAGTGAGCCAATAGCACGCCACTGCACTCCAACCTGGGTGGCAGAGCGAGACTCTGTCTCAAAAAAAAAAAAAAAAAAAAAGTTGCAGTGATCAGACCCAACACCAGGTCGTCGGGGTGACGAAGTCCGGCAGAGTCGAAGAAATGAGAAAGAAGATAGTTTGAGAGAGAAAATGGGACCAGGGAGCCATCGAGAGCGTGGAGGCTGCGAAAGGCCCCGAACTCTGGGAGCCCACACTATTTATTGGTGTTCAAACAAAGAAACAGGTGGTGAGGATGTGGGGGTTGAAAGGAAAAAGTGTATCAAGTGAATGAGAAACATATGGCTACTTGAGATAATTGGAGTGCCAGAAGCAAGGAGCCAGCAAGTCTAGCAGACATGCAAGCCCTGCCTCAGATTCTCTCCGAACACTCAGCTTTTCTCCCAACAACAAAAAAAAGATAGCAATTGAGGAATAGACCTCCATTTCTCTCTATTTCTATGAGTCACAGAATAGGATGCTCTCACAGGCAGCAAGCTGTCAGCAAGCTTTCTGAGGAAAGGTCTTAAAACAAAGGATACATAGGATATGGGGAAGTGTTACGTAAAACTGGAATTTTATATTACTAAAGTGACTAAAATAAATCCAGTTGTTGGAGAAAAGAAATAGGAGGTGAAGGGGAGGAGTAGGAAAGTAAAACATTAGGGGGAAAGAAAATTAATAGTTCTTTTCGAATATATGACAGAAAAAGTAGTAGAGAACATAAAGGCATATCAAAATTTCCCAATTAAAACAGGCGAATAGGCCAGGCATGGTGGCTCATGCCTATAATCCCAACACTTTGGGAGGCTGAGGCAGGAAGATCACCTGAGGTGGGGAGTCGAGACCAGCCTGACCAACATAGAGAAACACCCTCTCTACTAAAAATACAAAACTAGCCAGGCGTGGTGGTGCATGCCTATAATCCCAGCTACTCGGGAGGCTGAGGCAGGAGAATCGCTTGAACCTAGGAGGTGGAGTTTGCGGTGAGCCGAGATTGCACCATTGCACTCCAGCCTGGGCAACAAAAGCGAAACTCCCTCTCAAAAAAAAAAAAAAATTAATAGGAGAATAAAAATAAATTATATCCAGCCAGCAGATTTAAAGACTGAGAAAAACAGGAAACAGTAAAACAAAATAAATGGCAAACTTTAAATAAAATGAAATGAAATGGATAAAATCAAGGCTATCCCAAGTCATCCATAATTTCTAGATCAAAAAGTGGACCCTTAGACTGCATTAAATAACAGCACCGTATTCTTTGCTATTCACAAGAAATACCTCTAGTGCAGGGTGACAAACACTGAAAATGGGGGAGACAGAATACCAGCAAATGAAAATAAGCAAGCAAATGACAAACAATAGCAATAATCTCAATGTCAGCAAATCCCAGTTTAAAGTCCAAAGCATTTAGCAGGATAGATGGTGTGATACAAGATTCAATCCATTATGAGATTGTAACAGCCACATGTACCAAATAACATAGCAACCAAATCAAAACCTCCTGTAAATACCATTTGAATAAGATGCAACTTGAATTTAAAATATAAATATACTTCTTTAAAATTTTATAGCTCAAGTTGACCAAAGGAATGAGGATTTGAGTAAGGATATGAACATTTATTGCTTAAATTATTAATGGACTCTTTTCATATAGATGGAAACCTTTACAACACTGATCATGTCTTCAGCCAAAAAAAGTCTGTCAAATTCAAAAATTCAGATTTACAAGCTACAGTCTAATCATGATTCAGTTGTATTAGAAATTAACAATTAAAATATTATAAAAATGGAATTCTTAAAAATTAAGAAAATTCTTGGGCTACATTTAAAAAGAAATCAAAATCAAAATTACAAATTTGCAAATGATGCATGAAAGGACAGAACTCAATCTAACTGATGTGGGAATGCGGTATCTGGTAAACAGTATTGGCTGGTGGTGAATCAGGCTGCCTAGAGCTGTGTGATTCTGAGGAAGTGACTTAACCTCTCTGTGTCTCAGTGTTCTCAGCTGCAAAATTAATAGCATTTCTCCATAGGGATGTGGAGAAGATTAAATGAGAATCCACATAAAACAGGAAGAAGTCAAGCATATAAGTGTTCTTGAGTGATTTGTATCTGTTGTTTCATTCCTCCCTTCCCCATTCCGCTTATCCCATTCCTCTTTCTCATTTTAAAAATTCTCTACAATGTGTTTCTATCACTTTTGTAATAAAAAATACATTAAAATGTCCAATGGAACTATTTCATTGCTAATCCCATTATTAATAAAATTCAAAGGGAAAAGACTTCAACTGAATAAGAAATATAATCATTCCTTAGGTCAGCATAATCTGATATTCATCATTGTTTCTGCTGGTGGCAGGATGTCAGGGGTAGGGGGGCGGTGCAAATCAATGCATAGCTGTTGAATCTGTTGCCATTTCAAGTAAGAAAAAAAGTGTCCTCACCAAGGACACAGGAAACAGATCTTAAAGATTTAAGTTCAGCTTTGTTGCTCAGTGCTGTGCTCGCTTGGGCTCTGTCGTACTGTGAAGACCACTATTGACATCCTTCCATGCTTCTCCCACTTTACAGATGAGGAAATTGAGGATTGAGAGAAGACATGATGACCCTAAGACCACACATTAGTTAGAACAGAACTGTAGCTGCCCAGTGGGGATAATGAACGGAGAGGCTTGTCTCTTCTCAGGCATGGCCAGGCTGTTCCTCCTCACAGCCCCAGGGACTCAGCCTCCCTCACCCTCCCCAGAGCTGCAGATACTGCTCACACCACTGCCTGGGCTGCTGCATGGGACACTGCCCCAAAGACATGACCACAGGCCCTTAACATTTCCAGGGGTTTATTGCTGGTCCCTTAAGAGTAACCTGCTAGTTGAATAGGCACAGCTCACGAGACACAATCAGATAAACTTTGTCTCCAAACCCCTGTATTTTTTTTCATGTAATTGTAACATCGTATAAGCAGGGGGGATGCATCTTGGACTCTCTCCCTCCCTGTTATAGACTGTCCTCCACATCCTCCAAGCTCATCCCTGGCCCTGCATGTGTGCATGCAGCATATACGAATAAGCATTTGTTCACACTATTCCCATTGCTATGTAACTGTTACAATAGCATAACCATATTAATAGTATCAACAACTTGTTATGCAAAGCATTTTGTGTCATCTCTAACACAATGACCTTCTGCAGGCATCATCATAGATGTTGTAGAGACGAGAAAATAGAAGCCTTAAGAGGTAGAAGTAACATGGGGCACAACTAGTCAAGGTTGTAGCTAGCAGAGGTTGGGCACGGTAGCTCACACCTATAATCCCAGCATTTTGGGAGGCCGAGGTGGGCGGATCGCAAGGTCAGGAGATTGAGACCATCCTGGCCAACATGGCGAAACCCCGTCTCTACTAAAAATACAAAAATTAGCTGGGCGTGGTGGCGCGTGCCTGTAATCCCAGTTACTTGGGAGGCTGAGGCAGGAGCGTCGCTTGAACCTGGGAGGCAGAGGCTGCAGTGAGCCGAGATCACGCCACCGCACTCCAGCATGGTGACAGAGTGAGACTCCATCTCAAAAATAAAAAGGTTGTAGCTCGCAGAGAATGGTAGCAAGTTTTGAATCCACACTAAATCTAAATCTAGACCACACTATATAAAACAGTTATTGCTTTCCCCAGCTAAAATTGTCTAATACCCTTTAAATTTGCCCAGTGAGATTAATTTTTCATCTGCCCCCAAGATAAATTCTCAGGATGTTCCTGGTCATTTCTGGTTATTATAAAGTCATTTGAAATCACAAAGCTCAGTCTTGATTGAGGAACTAGAAGGTCTGGCTCTATATAATAATCAACACTACAATCTTAATTTGAAAATAAGACTTATCCTCTTCCTCTTCCAGGGTTTCTTGCTGGTACAAAGCTTCTCTCTTCTCACTCTCCTATTTTCTAACTTGTTAGCTGCTGTTTCTTTTCATTTAATTTTTGAATACAGAAATTTCCCAGCCTATACAAATGTAAAGAGAATAGTATCATAAACCCATCACTCACAATTATCACCTCACCAACTTATGGCGTATCTTGCTTCAACTATCCCCCACCCAACATTATGTGGCTATTTCTTTATATATATCTGTAAATCTATGTGTGTGTATATCATGTACACATTATTTAGCTCCCACTTATAAGGGAGGACATTGGTATTTGACTTTCTGAGTTGTTTCACTTAAGATAATGGCCTCCAGTTCCATCCATGTTGCTGCAAAATACATGATTTCATTCTTTTTCATGGCTGTATAGTATTCCATGGTGTATATACACCACATTTGTGTATATATACCACATTTTCCTTATCCAGTCATCCAGATGGACAGTTAGGTTGATTCCATATCTTTGCTACTGTGAATATAGCTATGATAAACATACAAGTGCAGGTGTCTTTGTGATATAATTATTTCTTTTCCTTTGGGTAAATACCCAGCAGTGAGATTTAAGGGTCAAATGGTAGTTCTATTTTCAGTTCTTTGAGAAATATCCACACTGTTTTCCATAGAGATTGTACTAATTTACATTCCCACCAACCACGTATAAGTGTTCCCTTTCCTCCTCATCCTCACCACCATCTTCTTTTTTTTTTTTTTTTTTTTTTTTTTTTAAATAATGGTTACCATTTCTGATCCCTCCAGTATTGCACCAGGGAGAGTTAAGAGAGCAGGGAAACTTCTCTTACAACAGTGTTGTGAGCACCGTGCCCGAAGACAGTGAGACAGAGGCTGTGTTCAGAAGCCCTGGTGCTCTAGTGGGGAGACTGCGAGAAGACAATGACAGGCAAATGTGGCCTCAGGCTTCACATCTGACCGTTACCTCTGCCACGCAACAAGATCCCCAAAAATGAACTGGAAAGAGGTTAAGTCGCCTTGGGGAAACTGTCATCTTTCTGAGCTTCAGTTGTCTCATGTTGAAAGTTCAAACGACTATGTAACCTTTTTCTGGGTGGGGGTCGGGGGCTTGAGGACTCAGTGAGCTGATAAAAGAAAACATTTTGGAAAATGCAGAGTATGAGGCCAGGCACGGTGGCTCACGCCTGTAATCCCAGCACTTTGGGAGGCTGAGGCAGGCTGATCACCTGAGCTCAGGAGTTAGAGACCAGCCTGGCCAACATGACAAAACCCCGTCTCTACTAAAAATACAAAAATTAGCTGGGCGTGGTGGCAGATGCCTGTAATCCCAGCTACTTGGGAGGCTGAGGCAGAAGAATCACTTGAACCCAGAAGGTGGAGGTTGCAGTGAGCTGAGATTGCGCCATTTCACTCCAGCCTGGGCGAAAGAGCAAGATTCAGTCTAAAAAAAAAAATGCAGTGTGGTAAAATGAGAGGGATTCAATATTTGAATAAATTATAGGTTCATACTTTATAGTTATTATTTATATCTTAATGGTCATGCTAGTTACATGACATCATTCTTCTAATATTATATATAAATCTCATCACAAACTGTATCTAATCTCCCAGTAAATCCTGCCAGCAATGACTTCAGAATATTTCAAAACTTCCTCCACCTCTCTCCACTCCAGCTGCCACCAGGGTCCAAGCCTCCATCCATGGCCTCCTCATGCCCTGCTATCTCCTCTGCCCAAGGTAGCCTTTTCTCAAAAGGTGATTTTTCTTTTAATTGTGGTAAAATAGATGACCGCTTTTCATGTTTTTTAGAGTTTTTATTGAGGTATAATTGGCAAATAAAAATTGTGTCTAGATATACAACTTGATATTTTGATACACATCTCCATTGTGAAATGATTACCACAATCAAACTAATTAACTTGTCCATCACCTCACATAGTTACCGTGTGTGTGTGTGTGTGTGTGTGTGTGTGTGTGTGTGTGACGAGAACACTTAAGGTCTATACTCTTGGTAAATTTCAGGTATACAATACAGTATTGTGAACTACAGTCTCCGTGCAGTACACGAAATCTCCAGAATTTATTCATCTTGCAAAACTGAAAGTTCATACTCTTTGACCAACATCTCTCCATTTTCCCCACCTCCCAACCACCATTCTACTCCCTGACTCTATGAGTTCGACTATTTCAGATTCTACCTATAAGTGAGATTATGCAGTATTTGTCTTTCTGTGTCTGGCTTATTTCACTTAACATAATGCCCTCCAGGTTCATCCATGTTGTCGCAAGCAGCAGGACTTTCTTCTTTTTAAAGGTTAACTCAGGATTTTAGTGCAGTAGCACTGGGATGAACCAGGAGATCTCACAGTGTGTCAGAAATAACTCCATCAAAGGTGGAGCATTTTTTCTCTGCCTAGATGCAGAGATTTTGGTCTTCCACTTTTTTTTCCAAGCATCCTAAATGAGCTGGCTCCAGTGTACAGAATACTATTCTCCTTACATCTGTATATGCTGGGGAATTTGCATATTCAAAAATTAAAAGAAATGAAAGAAACAGCAGCTAACAAATGCTAAAAGGCTACCCTGAAGGAGCTACCTTCCGGCCCACAAGAACTCCACCACAGCAGAATTTCTGTGCCTCACCTCTAACTCAATATTTCCTCGATGCCTCTTTATGGAAGTTAAAGTGGTCAGAAGCTGAGTGTGTGTGGATAGCGCTATTGATTTTTCGCTCCTTGGAGAAACCAGGCTGTCAAATTACAAGGCTACAAAACAGGCTAACTAGCTTGGCAGGGGTGCCCCCACCAACTCCACATGGCTCTTTCCCATCCTGTCTCTCACCACACTGGCTTGAAAGACCCCCGTTTCTCTGTCCTCTGCTGTGGACCTGCCAGACTCGGGAAGGCACCGGAGCTGCACCAACCAGCCCAGCGGTGGGTTTCTGCTGTTCTTATTTTTAGCCATGATGCTACTCCCAAAGAGAAAATAAAAGCAAATAAAATTTAGACTGTTGCAACTGATCTCCAGTCATTACAGAATGTTGCTACAGCAACCAACAGGGGCTTGACACTATCTTTCCTCCCCATACCTCCTCCACCTCATTTCTGTGACCCGGGAGCAGGACCATTCCAATGGCATCAGCACCATCTTCTGCGCAGGGCTTCTGTCCAACGTCTTTGAGAATGGAGCTACCCGGGGCCCAGCGCCAGGCAGGCAGCTCTGTGCATGTTGCCTGTTAACTGACACACCAGCCCCCCAGCCAACCTTGGTCCTAAGATGACAGATAAAGGAAGGTTAAGCAAGGAACTGATCACTGTTACGCACTTGAAAACAAACAGAGAAGGAAAGTAACCTCCAAAATGTTTTGAAAGAAAGTTTTACAGCCTGGATTTTTCCTACTTCCCTGTAAAGTGTTGGGAGACTCCTCAGTCACCTCTGCAGTGTAATCCAAGAAATCTGATTTTGGTGGCCCTGCCCCCTTCCCCTCCAGGCTCCTCAGGGACCTGATGTACCCTCACCCATCACCCTCACTCCATCTCACCAGGGACCTGTCTTCCTGTTCAGTCCAGTGCTGTCATGTTCTTTCCCTCTTAAGGATTCCAAAATGGACTGGTTAAAATATGCATGCTGAGTTGTGGGTGACAAATAGTAATGTATGAGCTTGCGGGAGGAAAGACTGAAGTTCTGTTCAGGTCAGCTCTGGGTCCCCTTGGGGGAGGAAAAACTGAAGTTCTGTTCAGGTCAGCTCTGGGTCCTGAGGTGACTGCACTGGGACCCCGGCCCCTCACACAGTCTCAAGTGTAATGACAATACCAATAATGAGAACAGGCCACATGAGATCCAACACACATGGGTACTAGCCAGAGGTCTCACAGAGGCACAGGCGAAACCCACATGCGTGTGAACACGAGCTGGTTAAATATCCAAACCCTCGACAGCTACTGGTGTGCATGCTTGATGGTGCCACAAAGGGAATAACTACAGAAAATGACTTCTAGGTAATAGGTAGCAAGTTCAGAGCTGTTCTATTTCCATCTGAAGCAAGGCCGCCTATAAAACCCTTCACACGCCAGCAGCTCAGAAAGAGGAAGGCATTTGTAACAGGCAGCTGCTGTGGCCATTCATTGCTGAGGGTGTACAGACAAAAAGCCTCCTCCGTGGCCTGAATCTCTGCAGCAAAAAATAGCCACAGAGAATGCTGGGCCTGCAGAAATGCAGTTCATGACAAAACACAGGCATGGGGACCAAGCGGCAGCCGGTGCTGGCCCACAACCAAGTTCTACACAGTCCTCCCACTTTCGCCTCAGATCCCTCTAGTCTCAGGGGAAATCCTTCCTGCAGGTTTGTCCCAGTTGCTCATCTTGTCTGCCTCAAATTCCTTCTCTCCTTTGAGGCTAAGACCTTGGAAAGTAAATCCATAAAGACTTGCTATTTCCACTGTCAGCTCTTCCTCATCCCTGGAGATCAGAGTCCAAGCATCAGCTTAGATGGAGGAAGGGAAGAAAAGAAAGCAGGTTGCCCATATCAAACATTACACCCATGAAGACTCTGACATGCCTCAGGAGGCCTGGATCCTCCCTTGTTCTGCCATTGATCCTCCTTGTGGCCTGGGTCAACCCCTTCCCTCTCTGATCCCTGGGTTCATCTGCTCGTACTCCACAGAGGCAGAGTTCACAGTTCCCTCCCAAATACATATGTGTCCTTAAGGCCAGGAACTATGTACTTTGGAAGATGATGCAAAATTAACGTGTGCTTAATGAAAAAAGTTACTGCTTTTTGAATAGTTCTAAATACTATAGGTATAAGTAACTGTTCCAAATGTATTGCACACATTGCTCAGTTAATTCTCATAGCATCTTGTGAGAAAGGTACTAATTTTGTTTTCGGTTTAGAAAACAGGAAGCAGGAATTTGAGACACAGAGAAGGCAAGTCACTTGCCCAAGGTCACGCAGCTTGGAGTGGTGGAATCATGACTCAAATTCAGGCAGTCTAGTGCAGGGCTACTCTTCACTGCCAGGGCTCTGCCGTTTCTGGAGACACATCCCACCACAGTGGGAATGCAGTAATATGCGGATGTCATTCAGTGCCAGCCTCCCCAGCTGCCCACCTCTCAGCTCCCTCAGACCAATGCAAATCAGGTGACTACAGGGTGGAAAAAAGACTAGGGCTGGGGCCCAGCCGGGCACATGGACACAGATATGCTGGTTGTGAAATTGATGAAATACTTCCAAGCTGGCTGACAAAAAGTCACTGCCCCAATCCACCTACCTGCTGGCCTGGCTGCCAAGCCCCTCCCTACTCCCTGCTCAGGATCCAGCCATTAAAGGGATGACCCTTGGCTTTAGATGGGGCCTCCAGGAGGCACCTACCTATGTGGCAGCTGCAGCCCACAGAGGTTGCTGCAGTGTGTCTGTCAGCCCCGCCCTGGCCCATGGCTCTTCCCAAGTCTGTCAGGTGTTCAGGGGTGACTACGGGGACTGGAGCCTCCAGTGTCCAGCTGAGCCTCTTTCCCTGCCCTCTCTGTGTGGGACCTGACTCCTGGCCAGCTCTGGCCTTTGGTCCCTGGTTTTCCCCCCAGGCTGGTGGTTGGCTGTGCTCCTGGGTGGCATGGTTCCTGCCTGTCCTTCCCTTGGAGCTAGACTCTATTCCTATTTCCCTTGCACGGATCCCGACGCGTAGCCCAGTCTGCCACTGGCACCCCCAGCTGAAGCCACAGCACTCACATCTCTCCCTTTCTTCTCCCCGACACATTGGCCCTTCCAAATTGCCTGGAGTTTCAGGCCTGGTGGCGTAAAGAGCAGCTCTCTCTCTCTGGGAAGGGGATGGGTATCCCTGTGGCCCTTGATTGGTGCCCTCCATCCACCAATATAGGCTGCCCCACTCCTCACTCCCTGCTAGAAGCTCTTTCCCCCATTTAAATCCCATTCGGCATTATTGGAAATCTACTGCATGCCCTGCATTAGTGTGACGTGACTTAGTTGAGAAAATTGCTGTATGCTCAGCTGATGGTAATAACAACCACTTAGCTCTAATAACTGCCTGTCAGACGCTGTCCCTAAGTGCTTTATATTTATTAAGTTAATCCTTACAGTAAACCCATGAGATAAGAATTGTTACCATCTCCATCTTACTGAAGAGGGCTCTGAGACACAGAGAGGTTAAGAAACTCACTGTATCACACAGCAAGTCATAGAAGTGTCTAGATTCAGATCCAGCCCCTGTACCTGCAACTGCCACACTATGGCTGACATGCTACCGTACAAAGGGATGACTATCAGGACAGGAAAGACCTTAGACATACCAATTCAAGTCCAAACAGGAATATTTAAGAAAATGTTTACAATTAATTGGTTTATCCCAAGACTTCCACATCTCAGGGGCAGCTTTGGAGCAAATGAAACTGACCAGCTGCTGGGGAACAGGCCCAGGTTTCCAGGGAGAATCTTCCTTTTTTGGCTACTAGGGGGCTTTCGCCCTGTTCCAGGGAGAGTTCCAGGCTGCTTGGGAGCAGAGCATTCTGGCTGGCCCCAGCCTTGCCCACCAGCCACCCCTGCCTGCCAGCAAGCCCAGGGCCACGCGGCAGCTTTATTCTCTCCAGCAGATGTGTGCGTAGAGGCCGTTTTCTAGGTGAGGACAAACACCCTGTTTCCCAGTCCCCCGGAGAGAAGATGCCGTGCTGGACAGGAGCCCTAGCAGTGCAGAGTCCCCTGCTGGGGACATGCAATTTGGGAAGAAGCCTAGGGCAGACGGTTTCTCCAGCCTCAGCCTGCTCTCCTCGGATACTCAGCTGCGCGGCGCCACCTGCTGGACAGACCGAAAGTCTCCTCTTTGGCGATGGCACCAGCAACCCTGGGCTTCCCTGAGGCCACCTCCCCTGGTCCCCCTCAAGTTCCTCCAACCCTAACCCTGGCCAGCAGGAAGGGGAGATCTTCGCCTTCCAAAGAAAGCTTGTGCCGTGGGCACTGGTCTCCGCATCTGGACATTTCACAGGATCAATCAGTAGCAGGATTGTTCATTTATTTATCTGCATTACTTGTCTTTGTTCTGATTCTCAGGGCTCTGACTTCTCCCAGGTCACTCTCATGTCACTCCTTGCTTAGGGATGCTAATTCTTTAAACTCTTTGAGCCTCAGTTTCCCCATCTATCAGGATGGTGCAGGGCTGTTATGAACAAGAGAAAGTGCCGACCTAGGTTATTGCACACCTGCCTAGATAGAGCCAGGTGCTGGGCTCACAGCATGGTGGCCCCGGGTGTCTGTAGATGTTCTCAAGCGCTCAGATGTTGCTAGAACATACCATTTCCTCTGGACAGGGTGTATATAAGCACTGAGCCCTTTTGAGATGAGGGTTCTGGACAGTTCCCGAACCCTCCTACCCATGGGATTCGAAGAGTGTGAGACTCAAATCAAAGCCCCAGCAAAATAACAAATTCCTACATAACAGTAACTCTCAGAGGAGTAAAATCAATAATATTCACATATTTTAACTCTCAGGAGTAAAATCAATAATATTCACATATTTAACACATATTTATTCACAGTTATTATACCTGAAATGCCCAGGTCTATTCTATTTCACTTAATAAATGTTATTTTTTCCTCTTTTTTGCTCCTTGTTCCCTCTAAGCCTATTCTTTCTTATCTGTTATGGGCTGAATTCATGTTTCATATGTTTTAATATGTGGATATGTGGAGATGAGGCATTTAAAGAGGTGATTAAGTTAAAATGAGGCCATTAGGATGTGCCTTAATCCAATATGACTAGTGTCTTAAAAGAGGAGGAAATGTGAGCACACAGAGACACCAGGGGTGTGTGTGCACAGAGAGAACCATGTGAGGACACAGGGAGAAGGGCTTCTGCAGGCCAACAGAGGCCCCAGGAGAAACCAACCCTGCTGACATCTTGATCACAGACTTCCAGTCTCCAGACCCATGAGAAAATAAATTTGTTATTTAAACCACCTAGTCTGTGGTGTTTTGTTATGGCAGCCCTGGCAAACTAATCTATCATCTTAGTATAATAAAGTCAGTTGCTGCTCAATGAAACAGGACTTTAGCCTACATGGAGGTCAGACAGGAAGCATGATTTTATAATAAAATCATGGGCCTGGATGTGGACTCACACTCACAGAGGGCAGAGCCTGGCATGAACCCACACATCTGGCTTCTCACCACAGTTCCAGGCACAGTGCTGGTCATTGGACCAAGTGGAATTGAATCGTCTACATTGCACAGTCTGGCAGGACCTGCCTGAGGCCCCTGCAAGGTCCCTGCTTGGATTTCTGCTTCTCTTCATCCTTGATAGAGAGTCACCAATTCCCCCTTGCAGAGAAAACTACTCATAAACCACAGTGCAGGGGTCAGGGAAGGGCAGGGTCATGTCTCTGTGGGGCTCTAAAGAGAGGCTGCAGTTTATGACTGTGTGAGATGTTTACAACAGACACATTTGTTTCTCAAACTGCTCTGGGGTTGCTGAAGTGAATTTCCTCTAAAGCTGGAAAGTGCCCATCCATCTGCTTGATGCAGCTTCTCTGGAGGCAAAGAGCAGAGACTCCGCAGCTGCAGTGGATTCCTAGCTGGAGAGGGAGGGCTGATCAATCAAGCCACAACTGGGATGGGTGCTGCAGGTGTCCCTCTACAGGTAAAGTGGCCATTTCTCTGAACCAAAATGCTATTAATTTTTTTAAAAAGGATAAAAAGAGGAAGGAAGGAGGGAAGGAAGGAAAGAGGGAGGGAAGGAAGTAAAGAAGGGAGGGAGGGAGGGGAGTCAGTTCTGAAATGTGAACTTATTTATATAGTTTACCAAAGATTTATAAAATCAATCATATTTTCAGTTTTAATACATTTTGTATTGAAAATAGTATAATTTCATTAAAACATACCAAAATCATTCAAAATCATATCTCATTTAAATCAAGAGTGCCAGGTCTGAGTGTATTAGTCCGTTCTCACACTGCTATGAAGAAATACCCGAGACTGGGTAATTTATAAAGAAAAGAGGTTTAACTGACTGACAGTTCCGCATTGCTGGAGAGGCCTCAGAAAACTTACAATCATGGCGGAAGGCAAAGAAGAGGCAGGCACCTTCTTCACGGGGCAGCAGGTCAGAACGAGGGCAAGCAGGGGAAATGCCAGATGCTTATAAAGCCATCAGACTCTCGTGAGATGAGAAGAGCATGGAGGAGACCACACCTATGATTCAATTACCTCCACCTGGTCCCGCCCTTGACCTGTGATGAGATTTTGGGTGGGGACACAGCCAAACCCTATCACTCAGCTTGAGCCTAAGCTGCATCCAGACCTATTTTGAAGACAGTGAACAGAGGAACAGGGGCTCCTCCTGGGCAGAGAGGGAACCAGGCAGAACAAGCTTGACCCAGGAACAGAGACGGTGCCCAGGGACCCAAGAGGGGTGATCACAAAGACACTGAGGAATCTGTCCTCAGGCCAGCCAATTCCTAAAGGGAACAAAAATTAAATCAGGTAGCAGCAGCCTTTCCCTTAAAAACGCAAAGACCCAGGCGTGGGCAGCACCTAGTTTGTCCTGAGGAGGCAGGTTAGACTCCAAGTATGAATGGATTTGTTTTCTGTGTACTTCCTCTCCCTTCTCACAGGTGCCCTGGGCCACCCCAAGCTGAAACAAGACTCCAAGACACAGATACTGACCTAGGTAAAACATGACCTGCAATGTGTTTTTACCAGGGCAAGTGCTTTTATTTGGTGACAGGGACAGAAAAGGAAAGTGAGGAAGGAGAAAAGTCTTTGCAGTGGGGAGAGGAAGAAAGACCAGGATGCAAAAGGATCGGGGCCCCCAGTGAAAGGGACCAAGCACAAGCTGTGCTGGAGGGCAACGCCCTCATCAACTCCATCCTGCAGCCAACAGCCTCAAATCAGTGTAAACCCCTGTGAACAAATGGTGGGGACTTGGACAACATTGATGGGGATGGGAACACAAAGAGAAAGCCTTGTCCCGGACCAACCGACATGGAATGTCCCTACAATCCAGGGCAATGGTGGGCCCAGTCCCAGTGTCAGTATCATATAGCCCTGGGAGCCAGCAGCAGAGGCAGCACCCATGCCATCGTGCTACAGTGCACTGCAGTGCCGGCCAGCATCAGGAGGCCCTCAGAGCACTAAGCAGGGTACCTGGCAGAAACCTACGGCCCCTGGTAGGAGAGGCTATTATGGTGAGAGCTGGAAGAAGCAGAGAAGCAGGAGGCTCTGGCAGAGGCAGCCACACAGCAGAAAATGGCCAGAAGCAGAGTCGCTTGTGAGCACGTGGGAGAGACACCCTGGAACTCCCAGGAGTGCCTGGACTAAGGAGGGAGGTCCAGGCCTGTGTAAGCCATGCAGACGGCTCCTGGCAGTGTAACCCCATTTGTGCCTCCAACCAGACTGGTGAGGACGGAACACCCTGGGAATAGAACTGGTCTAAGACATGGCTGAAAATGCAGCTCCCCGTTTGGGAAAACCCATCTGCCAAGGTTACGACAGATCTGATGGCAGGGAAACACAATAGCAGGCACATCATAAACTATGCAAATGAAAAAGCAATGTGCAATTTTTAATTCTAGGAAAATGAAAAGATGTACAAGAAGGAAAATGCAATTATAGCACCAACTTGACCCGCAGTGAACAATGTTTTTAATTAAGTTGAGAGGACCTGGGTGGATGAGGAGACTGAAATGAGATGGGGGCAGGAAATAGGCGAGCTGAGTCCACGTCAACCTGATGAGAAGTCAGTAGATAATTGCCAAAAACTGATAAGTTAAGAAGCAGCCGTCAAAACTTGTAATTCAGGGAAACAAAAAATGAACAGTAGAAGAAATAGCTAGAGAATTGAGAGAGGTTGTGTCCAGGGAGCAGGACTGAGTATGATGGGAGAGGGGGCAGCAGGGGCCTGTGAGGCCCTGTGTTCAGCTCTCAGAGTGATCTTGGACTTGTGAACTCCACGCTCTGGGTCTCAGCTTCCCCATTTTTATTATGATGGTGCTGTCGAAGTGACCACTGGTGGCTCACCAGCTCTGCAGTTGCAGGGCTCTGGGCAGGTGGTTATGTGGATGTATGCACAGTGGGTACTGCATGTGAGAATAAACACATTTTTCATGATCATAGTAACTGGGCTGTCACACAGCTGGGCCAGACCAGCCTCAGCACACATCTCAGAATGGCCTTCACACTCAGACACGCATGTGGTTTACTCAGTGCAGCCTGGGCCCTTCCTCAACTCAGCTGAAGAAAACTGTCCTGTCTCCAAGGCCAGCCTCAACCCACCTGCTCCGAGGCTGAGGGCCTGGCCACAGGAAGGCACCTCTGAAAGGGCATCTTGTTCCTACTGGAGTCAGGGAGCCACACTTGGCATGGGTTGCTCTTTACTGCAGGTGTAGACAATCATCCCAGCAGAGGGCACCCCCAGCACCCGAGGCCTCCCCGACCCCATCCTCCATATCCCATCCCTGCAAACGTGCCATGTTAGCCTCTGTCTGGTGAGCAAGACATAGATATAGAAAAATGAAGAATGAATGAATTGAATGAATACATACATACTCTAATAAACTGTGCATTGAATATCTTTGTTGTACACCAGAATTGAAGAACTTAAGGCAAGGAAGAGATACAAAGCAAGCAGAAACCAACATGCACATTCCACTCAGAGAGAACAAAAAGATCATAGTAACAGAGGCCTTGAGTTCCTTATAAAGGCTTCTTCTCAAAGTAAATCTGTTGTGGGGAAATAAGGAAAGTGTTGCCAAAGAAAGCAACTTGAGCTACTGTCAGGAAATCTTCCAGGGCCAGGTATCCAGCAAGGCCATAAGTCACCATGTGGCCAAATGGCCCTCTCTATTGTGCACTTGTATTGCAAGTCAGATGGGAAATGCTCCTGGAGATGCCAGTCATCTTAAGTCTGAAGCTCTAAGGAGGAAAGAGAAATAGCAGTGTCTAGCACCTTCTCTGCATTGCCAACTTTTTATATATTATCTTCTTTAATCCTGGCAATGGCCTCATGAAGTAGGAATCATTGCCCTGATTGCAAATGAGGAAACAGAACCTCTAAAAATCTTGTCTATCTTCCCCTGGTTTCCATTTCTTGTGAATGTCAAAGCTGAGATTCAACTCCAAGGCCAGATCATGGCAAGACACACTCTACTCCCTTACCTACTAACTTGAAAAAGACTTCTTTCACACACTTCCAGGGTGCTGGCCCTCATGACCTGCTGGGGAGAGACACTCGGTGTCAGAGCCCAAGAGGGAAGGAATGTGCCTTGCCTGTTTTCTCTGTGCCTAACTCCAGGAAAGGCTCAATACATTTTCCAAGCTGGGGAGTATAGATGGTCACAGTAATTTGTTGGTCAAGGAGGGTTGAGAGGAGAGTATGAGAGAGGAACCCAGGCAGATGTATTCCTTTTAGAAATGGGGTGTTCATCACATTTTGTTAATTCTGTCTTCCCTACCAAATGGTTCTGTCTCTTTTTTCCATTTATTTTAAATGCATTTAAACCAACTGATCATTTAACAATTTCTGTGGGTTTTCTGGTGTCTGTTTGGGGTTATTATTTTCATTTTGTTTTTGTTTGACAGTGTTGAATCATCAAAATATTGCAAAGCATTTTTCTGGCTCACTAATTGATAGACTCCTGCCTAATTGCCTGCTGTTTCATTTCTTCTTGTTAAAATGACACAAGGTTTTCAGTTCTGCTGCTTCCAAAAAATAAATGGTGCTGCTTGACTAGCCCTCCATCTGCGCCTCCACCAGGGTGACAGCACGTGCCACGAATCCCACAGATCACTGGCCCTGGGCAGAGGGTTGGGGTGGAGGCTGGGAAGGATGGTGGGTGGAGAACAGTATCCTTCTAAGAGAGCCCCCTGCATTCCTGAAGCTCCTTCCCCAGGTCTTCTCCCTAACATTACCCCATGGATCCATTGCCAGCTTCAGCAGGTCACGGGTACCTATTTTCTGAATTGCCAAATGACGTCTGAAGCTGGCGGAAACTAGGAGCCCCTACGTTTAACCATGAGACTTTACATGTGCCCAATTTATCCATCCATAAACTACAGCCTTATACCCACTGGCCTCACCCATGCCAAAGAACTATGCTTCTGCGGTACTAGGGGCAGGTGAGGGCCCTGCCCAGTGCTCAGCATGTGGTCCTTTCCGGCATCCCACATCTCTACCTCCAGCTTCAACCCTGTCTCGGGTCCCATGGGCTCACCTTGGATTTAGGACTGGCACTGTCCTTCCAGCCTCACAGGACATGCTGTGCATGCTGGCCTTTGCCCCAGGCCAAGCTCATCTGGCCCTAACCCTGGGCTTGTCCAGGAGGTTCAGGTTCACCCAGGTCCCAGGATAGGAAATCAAATCCCCTTTGGCAACATTAGAACTTCAAAAAAGGAGGAACCCAGACTAGGTCAAAACATGATCTGTCTGGTTCTCTGCCCTCCAGCTTTCTCCCCCAGCTGCTGGGACCAAGGGCTCTACCTCCAATTTCAGGAAACTTCTCCTCTGACATTATGTTCCTTTGGAAGCTAGGGGATGGAGGATTTCTTCAACTGCCTGGCCAGGATAACCAGTCCCAAGCATCTGCCTAATGGTGAGGAAAGGGGACACATGTTTGGTGTCTGGGGCCAGGCCTTTCCACTCTGCCTCATCCCTCTGCCTTGCAAGTTCCTGGTATATGTCAGGGGTAGAGCTGCAGAAAACAGGGGCTTCACTAGAAAATGTTTCTGTTCCTAAGCATCCCTTTCCCCACCTCTCCCCATTAGCAATGGGAATTAGGGGCATGGATACATTTTTCTGAGCACACCTCTGCCTTCTGCATAGATCAAACCAGAGATCGGCTGGGAGCCAATATTACAGTCCTGGCGTCCTATGTTATAGAGAAGGAAGCACTGAGGCTCAGTGAGAGGAAAGTGGAGACAAGGCCACAGTGTGAGCCAATGGCAGAGCCAAAACCGGAACCCAGGAGCCAGACTTCTAACCTGAGATTGTCCTAATTCCAGACTTAACTATCTCCCAGAAGAAAACTCAGCACCCTGATGTCCCTCTAAAGACATAGCTGTGTCTGTAGACATGGAGCACATTTGCTGGCAGACCTGGCTTGTCGGCAGCACCTGCAAAAAGGGTCAAAGGTTCTGACTGACTGGAAGGGCACTGTGATATGCCGGCTACAAAGTTACCATTCACCAAGTGTGAAATCAAAGGATCCACTGACTAACCACTGTCACGCAGATCTATCACGTGCACATACACACACACTTAGTTTAACAAACTTTCAATGCCAAAGTAAGAGAGATGCTTCTCTTTCTTGATCAGACTTCATGTGGAGGACTACATTTCCTTTAAGAGGAAAACTGACAAATTAGAGCATTCCCAAAGAAGAGCAACCCGAAGTCGAGCTAACTCAAAATAATGTGAGGCATTGTGCTTAAACATCCAGAAGTTTATAGAAGAGAAGACTAAATACACATTATATCTGAACTCAGATTGCTGAAAAATAATGTGGAAAAGACAATGGAATTATCGTGGGTCATTTTAGAGGGCAGAGCTGGGTTCAATGGAAAGGGATAAGAGAATAACGTTTTAACCGCTGGAATGCTTTAAAATTGGAAGTAGTGAGTTCCCCTTCATTTCTAGGGGGAACTTCTATTCCAAACAGAGATGGGAGACACCCAAGGACTTGAGATTCAGGCAACAAACATGAGTTTGAACTAGATCAAGTTGATTCCACAATCAGATAAACTCTAAATTCCTTATGCTTAAGTTCAGAGTGAAGACAGAAAAGGGAAGAAGGAGAGGGTATTGGGTGTCAGAGCCAAATTACCCTCTAGGAGACAGGGTCACAGGAGGTGACAGTGCACTCACCAGTCTGTGTGCCCATCACACCAGAATGATGACTTCTTGCAATCCTTCCTCTATTTGTCATGAGTTCTTGGTTGCACATTGTAGAAGATCATGTATTTTCAGGCAAAATAAAGAATGTTTATTGTAAGAACACAGGGTGTCTAGTGAAAAGTGGAAAATTGGTGAGACTTTCCCCTCTCTTGCATTTTTGCTTCTCCCTAAATATCAATTTATTCTTCTTTATCTGCAGACCACTTTACCAGATTCTCCAGTCTTAAATTCAAGATTTTAGAATTCATTCTGCAGGATAATTGGTTTCTCTAATATGCTTGAGGCTAGTTATCACCTGGCATGCTTGTTAAGGAAATCAATCACTATGCCTCCAACTAGATGCACTGGTTTGGAATTTCTGGAGAGGAGTCCCGGTATTTTAGAAATTCCTGTCATCAAGGATGTTTTTAAAACTTTGCAGAGTCAACTGGGAATCAGTGAAGATTTTGGAGCAGGGTCATAACATAAATGGAGTCATGCTTCTGGGAGATTAATTAGGTGGCTCTGTGGAAGCCAGATCACCAGCTTCTAGGTGTAAAGAGCCTGTTAGAATAGCCCCGAGGATGGGATGTATACCTGAGATGTCTTTCTAAAGAAATGAGTAGAGGCACAAGAAGTGGCATCACCTGCAGCCATCTCTTCCCTTCAGGACCTCACCTCCCTCATAGCCACAGTTGAGAGGAATAGCATGGAGAAATGACACAGAGGGTGGGGGCAATTGGGTTCTCCCTCTAGGGATCCAGAACTGGTGTCCAGATGACCTTCTGCCTCATCTCCCTCATCCAATTCTGCCCAGCCCTCCATGCCCAGATCAAAGCCCACCCCTTCACTGATATCTTGAGCCAGATGCCATCTCATCCTCCTTTGAATACTCATGTCACCTGTTCTGGGCTTCTCTTCTGAATCTAGTTGTTTCCTCCCATCCTACATCAGGAATGTACATGTCTCCTCCATGAGACTATAACTGTGTTAGGAATTGAGATGATTCATCCTTTACCTTTGTTTCTTTCCAACATGCATTGGACACATGTTACAACACATCAGCCTGGGCATCCAGAAAGTACTTCTCTAACTACAGCTTCATTCATTCTATGGAAACTTTGATCTCTCTAAAGGTCCTTCCAGTCAATCCTTCTCCAACATGAGCTTTGAGAACAAGCCCTCTCAGCTAAGATGTCTGTGATTTGCTTCCTGTCCTCCAAGAGTTGTCATGGTGATACCTACCAACTTTACCCACTCATAAAGTGGGAGCCATGACCCAATGCCCAGCAAGGTCCAGTTGCTGCTCACTAGACACCGAAGCCCAATGCCAAGGGCATTGCAGGTCAATTGCTGCCATCTCCAATCCCAAATCTCTATCGGTGCCTGGTCTTTTCTGTGTCCCACAGAGACACACTCAACACATTCATGCATTCAGAATAACTACTGAGGGTCTGGTAACTGAGAGTGTCAGATTTGCTGCTAGGTTGCAGGAGACCATAAATATATAGCCCAGTTAGACCCACTTACTTTAGGGCTCAGGCATCTGTCAAAAGGGTCTGGAGTGCAGGACAGTCCCCTGGGAATCCCACCTCACCTCTCCCACAGTGGTGCTTTGGCTTGAAGCGAGGCATATGCGCCATGATGTCATCTCCCTTCTTGATGAGTTCATGTTCAGAGGGATCCCAATGTTCTCCACTGAATCAACTCCAGGGTCAAATTCCACCTCCACACAGTCCTAACTCCTACAGTAGACACAGCTTAAGCCTACACTAACAAACATCTGTTGAATATTGAATGAATGTCTTCCCCACACAAACCCTCTATATACAAACACATACCTTCCCTTCTCCTTCTTGCCCATTCATAAACATCGTTCTATCCTGATAACTAAGAAGGCTTTGTGGCTCTTAGAGGACTTTCAACAATATTGTGAGTTGGGGGCCTCATAGCATCTGCAAGAGTTAATTAGAGAGTACAATTATATTAGCCCTCTTTCGTAGATAATGCAAGTGAGACGCAGGGGAGATCAGAGCTTCTCAGAGCTGGGAGGACTGGACATGGCACTTGAGTCTAGGTCCTCTGCTCCCAGTCACTGTGCTTTTTGTAATATAGCCTCTCTCGCAGGGTGACATCACCTTGATTAAACACCTACTATGTGTTTTACATGCTTTATCTCATCTAATCCTTGCAGCAGTCCCACAAGGCAGATGTTACCCCTCCACTTTGTAAGCAAAGTGACCAAGATACAGGAAGGTCAAGTAACTTGCCAAAGTCACTCAGCAAATAAGTGACCGAGGCAGGATTCCAGTTCAGGTCTATGTGACCCATGCTTCTGCCCCTCACCACATCTCCCCTCCGTGTAAAAAACATCACATTCTGTGACTGTCTCATTAGAAAACTGGCCCTCAAGTTACTGGAGCTAAAGCAGTCCTCATAAATAAATTACCTTCCTAATTAAATAGTGAGCAGCAAAGGGTGCCTTAATTCTCAGACTTCTGGCCAGTTGAACAGAGCACTATGTGTAGCTGTTCTATGCTGTCCCTATGTAGTGTCAGATAAATTCCCAGCAGAATTACTTTAATTTTTAGAAAAAAATGTTTGAGGGGAACATCACACACTGGGGCCTGTTGTGGGGTGGGGGGAGGGGGGAGGGATAGCATTAGGAGATATACCTAATGTTAAATGACAAATTACTGGGTGCAGCACACCAACATGGCACATGTATACATATGTAAATAACCTGCATGTTGTGCACATGTACCCTAAAACTTAAAGAATAATAAAAAAAAAAAAAAAAACAAAATAAGGAGAAAAAAAGAAAAATAAAAAAAAAAAAAAAAAGAAAAAAATGTTTTGGCCAGGCACGGTGACTCACGCCTGTTACCCCAGCACTTTCGGGGTAACAGGCAGGCAGATTGCTTGAGCCCGGGAGTTTGAGATAAGCCTGGGCAATATGGCAAAACCCCATCTCTACCAAAAAAAATATATATGTGTACATAAAAATTAGCAGGGCATGGTGGCACACATCTGTGGTCCCAGCTACTCAGCAGGGCTGAGGTGGGAGGATCACCTGAGCCCAAGAAGTCAAGGCTGCAGTGAGCCAAGATGGTGCCACTGCACTCCAGCCTGGGCAACAGAGCAAGACTCTGCCTCAAAAAAAAAGCTAAAAAAATACAAAATAAAACAAAGATGTTTTTAAATGGACAAATGTATTAGCCGAAACATAGACATCTTGACTCTGCATGCCTGCCCCTCCACATCATAAATGCACCTAACATTGCCAAAATTCCAGGAGTTTGGCTGGAAATTGAAAGGGCTACTGATTAATCACATATGTAAAATCTTAATTAAAACACAAATGGCACCCATTACAAATTAGGACTTTAGCTAATTTTTCCAATAGGAAGTGAAATAAACTTTCTTCATTTTCCTTCCTGACGTCTTACTTTCCTGCCAAAGTGGTGCTTTCTCATGGGAAGTGGCAATGGAAAAATCACGCAATTTATAAATTAAGAAAGGATAACTTTATTTCTTTTTTTTTTTTTTTTTTTGAAATGGAGTCTTGCTCTGTCGCCCAGGCTGGAGTGCAGTGGTGCGATCTTGGCTCACTGCAAGCTCCGCCTCCTGGGTTCACACCATTCTCCTGCCTCAACCTCCTGAGTAGTCCCAGGCACCTGGGACTACAGGTGCCTGCCACCACGCCCGGCTAATTTTTTTTTTTTTTTTTTTTTTTTGGTATTTTTAGTAGAGACAGGGTTTAACCATGTTATCCAGGATGGTCTCAATCTCCTGACCTCATGATCCGCCCACCTCGGCCTCCCAAAGTGCTGAGATTACAGGCATGAGCCACCATGCCTGGCCAACTTTATTTCTTATAAAGAGTTATAGCTTGCAGGGTGGCCATCCCAACCAGCTGGGAAGTGTAGCCTCCAGCAGGGCCCAGAAGCAGGTACTTCAAGGGAGGGGAGAGTGCAATAGGAATTTATGCCAGATGGGTTGGCCAAGCATACATATTTAACAGGTTATAAAAGGAGCTATGAATATTCACAGAGAGGGTCCTGATACATGAGTGCTGAACAAGCATGCAGGTTACATGCATCACACGATCACTTTGGGGTGGAGGCTTAACATTTAAATGTATTACAATTAGGCCCTACACATCAAAAGGTGAAGAAGGGACACGAAGGCACTCAAGTGTGCAGCTTCTGTAAACTGGCCAGAACCAGTCCTTGATCAGTGGTCTCATATCAGGAGAAAGTTACTAAAATCAGTCTCTTGTCCAGTCAAAGCTGTAGTTACAGCTTATGGAATGGGGGTCAGTTAGTATCTGTCAGTGGCTGAGCTACAATTGTTTTAACATTGCTTATCTCAAGGCTAGTGCTTGTTTAGTTGCGAGAGACAAAGAAAACCCTTGTGGCAGTCAGAATGCAGTTATTCTTTAAATGCAGGGGTGTGTGACTTAATCCTTGCCTGGCATGGCTGTAGGTCCTGTTTATAATTTGGTTTCTTATTGCCACAAAGAGGCCATTGTGTCAGGCTTATGATCTCTATTTTAACATTCATGCTGTTGTTTTGGGAGGGGGTATCATGAGGCACCTCTGACCTCCTGTTCCATCATGGCTGGGAACTCAGTTTTTACGATTTTTCTGGGATCCCTTTGGCCAAGAGAGGGGGCTGTTCAGTTGGCATGAGAGTGGCAGGTGAGGCCAACCTTAGGTCAGCGTGTGGTGCAGTGAGGCTGGCTGTGGGGACAGCGAGCCAGAGCCTCATTAGGGAGCACAGGAATGCCCCCTGGCACCAGGCACTGCCTTGCCTTTCTCTTCATGTTCCCACCTCTCATTCTTCCCACCGAGTGGTCAATCCCCCTCTCATTGTTCCTGGGCTAAGGACAGTGCTCACTGGCTGCTCCCAAGCAGAAATCACTCCTGCTGCTCCCAGGGTTGGCCTGGTCTGGGATTGGGCAACAGGCCGTGCTCCCAGCATCTCTCAGTTCTCTCCTGTGTGAGCGGTAGCCATGGCCTCCTCCTTCTATCTGTCCCTATATGCTTTCCCTAACACAGGGATTCCTCAGTTTCTGTCTGCTGAGACTCATTTGCTCTTGCTGTACGAATTTCCTAGGATCTGAGCAGCCAGGATTGCAATGCACCATATCTGCCTTCTTAAAATCCTCTGCCATTTCCCCCACACTGCTCTGCTCTGGGCTTTCTTCTAAGACTTCTAAGACTTTAGGAGAAATATTTCTCCTAAATCACCTAATGTTTGAAATCGAGCTGCTACAATGCCCCCACAACAGCGGCAGGTAAGTGACAGTTGGTTTCATGAAGCACCCTATAAAAAATCAGGACAAGATCTGAGTAGTGAGGAAAAGGGTTCTGAAAAGGCAGCATCCTCTTAACATGTCCAAAACGGAGCTTGTTGTCTTCCCTCACTGTCTCCTTCCTCCCAGATGCTGTGTCCTGGTTGATGGCCTCATCTTTCATTAAGTCACCCACTCCAGAGAGTGGGAGGTAGCCCTGAAATCCCACATCCAGTCAGTAGCCAAGTGCTGTCAATTTTGTCTCCTTAAGGTCTCAAACATGCACTCTTCTCTGTATCCCTGGATGGCATCACCTGACTCCAACCCTTGTCATCTGTCACACGAATGATTGTAGCAGCTTCAAGCTGGTCTGCCTGTCTGTGGTTTCCCCCTGCACAATCCAATTCTCATTCAACTCTGCTGCCTTGGTAGTTAGATAATTTAGTCTCTCATCCCTGAAAACCCCCTACCCTCTACCTCTGTCCATCGCTTTCAATCAATCCTCCCTAGAACTGCACGCACACAGTGGGCACTGTGCTGACTGTACCAGGCAATACAGAGCCACTCCTGGGTACCCAAGCAGGCCCTGCAGTTTCACACCTGTATTCCTCGGTGTCTGCTGTCCTCCCGTCTCAATGTCCCTTCCCAGGCCTACCTAGTTCATTTCCAGTCACCTACCTAGAAAATCTCCACTCCTCTTGAAACTCCTCTTCAGGTACAGTCTGATGTTGACACACTTACTAACACCTCCATTCTCCCTGTAGCACTCAGCCTTCCTCTGGATGTTTTACAGCCTTTAGCAAACTTATTTACTTAACATATGACATCCCACAGAACTACTCGAGAGCAAAGGTCTTGCTCTCTTGAACACATAGCTGGAGGGTGGGTCGCACCAAATGAACTGAACTGAATTCAACCAAACTATTGAAACCAACCATTGAAAGTAATGGCAAAAACACAATTACTTTTGCACCAACCTAATAATTCACTGCAGAACACTCTTGAAATTCATTCTTCCCCCTTATTAAAGACTTCAAGCATGTATTTTTTAAATCTTCCTTGAAAATGATATTTAATGGCAATAGATCATGAGCTATAATAACTCTTACCCTTGGCATTAGCAAGTGAGACATGGTACCCTGAGGCTCACAGGAAAACAAAAAGAAAAAGATCAAGAAAAGCTATCGAATGGGGCAGAAATCATGGTATAAGTCACTCAGTGCCAAAACAGAATCATTTTTATGTGAAATATTTTGGAATATTATTCTGCAGGGTTAGGAAATGACTCCTTAGCATGGAGAGTACATAAAGAGAGGAATAGCAAAAAAAAAATGCTTCAAGTTGCTATTATACGACAGGCATCTTGCTACAAAGATTTAATCTAAAAACAATCATGCTATTAACCATTTATAAATAAATAAATTAAGGCAAAAAGATAGAAAATATTCCTAGTTTTGTGCTCGTAACTGACAAAACTAAAATTCAAGCTCATATCTGATGAGTCCAAACACTAGCTTCCCAGACCAAATGTTAAATCAAAATAAAAACATAAAGGCATAGTATAAAACGTCGAGCAATAAGAAATGAACAACACCCCAAAATCCTAACTACATTAGTTAGGATTAAGTTCAGCTGCAACTAACATGACACAAAATGACAGTGGCTTAAACCACATAGATGTTTATGTTTCTCTTGTTTCAATGTAAGAAGGACAGGGCTGGAATAGCATCTGCAGAATCATCTATCACCATTTGTAGGGGACAGCCCTCCTGCTCATGATACAACATGAATCTCCAGCTGTCACATTCATATTATAAGCAGCAAGGAAGGGAGGGGAGGAGGAAGGAGCAAAGCATCTTAAATGTATTATATAATAATGCCTGTTAATCCTATTGGCTGGATCTAATCATGTGACCTCACCCAACTGCAAGGGAAGATGGGAAGTGTAGTCTTTATTTCATGCAGCCATGTGTACCCAGGTGAAAATCAAGGTTTTTATAAAAAGGAAACGAATATTAGGGTAAACAACTCTCTCTGCCACAGATGTTCAATATTAATAAAATGTCAATTTTATTTAATGTTATTGCAAATGTTATTATGTGATAAACCACTGTTTCTGCAAAAGAAAATGTGTGCTCTTTCAGAAGGCCTGGCAAGTAAGAAAGTATGAAAGTAAATGACTATTAAACTCCTTATGCATTGCAGCCATGTGGGGAGGGGGGTAAATGAGGTTTATCCTTAACTCTGATAGTATAAAGAGTACATTCTCCATAGTATACATCATATTTAACAGGGAAAGTCTGGAGGCATTCGCACTGCAGTCAGATACAATACAAGGATGCCCACTATCACTAATACACACCCTGGAGATGAGAGCCAATTCAATCAGACAAGAGAAAGAAACCACAACAAGAGCAAAATAGAATATATGGCTTTTATATCAGCACAATAAAACTCAACCTACCCAATGAAAAACAGTAAAAAGAAAAAATGCACACACCAAATGGAAAACATGACATAAAATGGCAGACATAAATAAGTTCTAATCTAATGGTAATAATTTTAAAAATCCAAATGGGTTGTCAATCGAAAATAATCAAAAGGCTCAGGATCTAGTTAAAAGAGTTTATTCAAGCACAAAATGTGAGGGTGGCTTTCTGGGGACACACCTACACCAAAGAATGCTGATCAGTGCTCCCATCGTGGGGGAAAATGAAGATCATTTATATAGGCAAAAACAAAGGCGTGGAACAGAATTACAACATTTTCCATACAAAAGCTAACATACAGATATAAGATTTCATTGGCAACTATTGATTACTCTCTGAGGGGGTTGCTTACATTCTGTTCTAAAGAGGTAATAATCACAACGTTCTCTATCCCCAACGTCATGTAGTCTAGGTTTGGATAAAGAAGAGGGAATCTCATTAATGGATAACATCTTGACAAAAGGCCAGGAAGCAATGGTCATGCACCAGAGAAGAAAAACAGCCATGTTACATGACTTAGTTTTCAGGGCCTAACTTTTCCCTTTTGCATAATAAATTTGGAAGGTCTTGAATTTTTTTTTTCTACAGGGTTAGACTTACCAATTTAAAATGAGACTCCCACACTGGATTAAAGAAAACAATATTCACCAATACAGTCGTTGTCTTAGATAGACAAATTTGCAACCAAAGAATAGAGAAAACCTTAAAAAATAAAAGACTGTGAAAAGATACCCCAGGCAAATATGGAGCAAAAGAAAGTTGAGGGGACAATCTTAATGTCTGACAAACTTAAATTCAAAACACAGAGAAGTGTTATCTATTGATCAAAAGGAATAGCAGAGTAAAGAAATATAGCCATGAATATTACATACCTTCCAATATAATTTCAAAATATGTAAAGAAACAATAGACAGACTATGGAAAGAAACATATAAATCAACAATTATATGGAGAATGTAATACCCCCTCTCAGAAAAGGATAAAGCAGGAAAAAAGTAAAAATACAGAATATCTGAATAACGGAATTACTGAATATAGAGAATTCTATACCCAGTAAATACAGAATATTCGTTTTTAATTAAATGTTATACATACACGAAAAATGACCATATATTAGCCCACAAAGGAAGTCTCAATAATTTTAAGGACTTATTATCACATTATCACAGAGAGTATGTTCTCTGCTCATAATACAATAACATTAGAAATTACCAACAAAGGGCCGGGCACAGTAGCTCATGCCGGTAATCCCAGCACTTTGGGAGGCCAAGGCAAGAGGATCACTTGAGGTCAGGAGTTTGAGATCAGCCTGGCCAACATGGCAAAACTCCGTCTCTATTAAAAATAAAAAAAATTAGCCGGGCATGGTGGCACAGCCCTGTAGTCCCAGCTACTTGGGAGGCTGAGGCACGAGAATCACTTGAACCCAGGCAACAGAGGTTGCAGTGAGCCAAGATTGCACCACTGCACTCCAGCCTGGGCAACAGAGTGAGACTCTGTCTCAATTAAAAAAAAAAAAAAAAAAGAAAGAAAGAAATTACCAACAAAAAGTTAGGTTCAAAATTCCTATGACCAGCAAACAGGATTACATATTACAAATAACTTTTGGGCTAAGAAAATCAAAAATTAAATTAATAAGTACTTAAAACTCAGTAACAAACACTCCATTTCTAAATCCATGAGAACAATTAAAGCAGAACTTTTCAGATATTCAGAAATTTATCAAGCAAAATAAAGACACTGAAAACATTCAATTTAAGAAGTTGCAAAAGGTATAACAGAAAAAATAAAAGAATAAAGAAGAAATGATATACATAAGAGCAAAAACAAATGAAACCAATAACTAAAAAAAAGTAGACATTACATAAAACCAACAGCTAGTTCTTTGAGGAAATTAACAACATAGAACTCTGACAAGACTAATCCAGAAAAAAAGAGATTAAAATGAATAAACTAAAGAGTGAAGTAGGAAATATCTACAGACACAAAATGGATTAAATGACCACAAATAAAACAACTACATATGTTACAGCCCAACAGGTCCTTCTGCCTGCTGTCCAGGAAAGCCAATGCACTGAGAATAGCAGGTTTTGCACCAAATAAAGAGTATACTTATCACAGAGCCAGCCAAGTGGAAGGATGGGAGATAAATCTCAAATCCACTTCCCTAAGACTTCTGAGACTAGGGTTTTTCAAGTATAGTCTGGCAGGCAGAAGGCTACAGAATGGAGAATGCTGATTGGTTGGGTCAGGGATGAAATCATAGGGGGTCAAAGCTATCTTCTTGATGATTGAAGCTGTCTTCTTGCACTGAATCAGTTCCTGGATGGGAGTCACAAGACCCCCTAGTTTCTTGGTATGGGTTACTAGCCCAGGTGGCACCAGCTGGTCCATCAAAATGCAAAGTCTGAAAGATACCTCAAACATCAGTTTTAGGTTTTATAATACTGATGTTATCTATAGGAACAACTGGGGAGGTTACAAACCCTGAATCATAATTCTAACCTTGTGGCCGATTTGTTAGTTTTACAAAGGTGGTTTCAGTCCCTGAGCAAAGAGGGGGTTAGTTTCAGGAAGGGGCTATTATCATCTTTGTTTTAAAGTTGAACTATAAATAAAGTTCCTTCCATAGTTAGCTTGGCCTACATCAAGAAATGAGCAAGGACAGTGTATGAGGTCAGATGCAAGATGGATTCTGCTGTGGTGAATTTCTCACACTGTCAAAGTTTTTGCAAAGGTCATTTCATACATTAATAAAATCTAGATAAAAGGAATACATTTGTTAACATTGCTTCTGGAAAAGGTAGAGTGTGGCCCTGCCCCAGTGGGCAGCACAGCCTACCTCCCTTGACTCCTGCCCCACAGACTAAGAGACCCAGAAGCAAGCAAGTCTACCTGTCATTCTTTATACCCTGGGGCCGATGTGTGAGAGGGCGCCCATTCGTCATCACTCTAGTCCCAGAGTTTTCCAAAACTCATATCTGACAATGTAGTGCCCTGTTTAAAACCTAAGGAACTGTCATACCCAGGAGGAGCCTAAGGAGACATGATGAGTAAATGTAATATGTGTCCCCGATGGGATCCTGGAACAGAAAAGGGACATTATGTAAAAACTAAGGAAGTCTGAATAAAGTGTACACTTCAGCTAATAATAATAACTGAAGTTAATAAATCAATATTGCTTTATTATGATCAATATACCAAACATACAGTATAACATATTAAATGTTAATAATAGGGGAAACTGGGTCTGGGGCTACTACTACTATGATCAATTTCTACCCACAGAACACTTCTGAAACCAACTGTGTGGACTTTTTCTCACACCAATCAATTCTCTAACTCCTTGTATACCAACTGGTTATCCTATAATTTAATTCACTTCAGATACTATCTACCCAAAGTTAATGCCGACTCCACAGATTAGGGGAGCAGTCCCATGAGACTGCCCTCATTTCAGATGTCAATTACAAGTCATAGGTGGTACACATCCATGTTGACCAACCAGCTGTAAAGTTGGGGGACGGTTTGTTCCTACAGCCCCCTCCTCATTTTGGACATTTGCTAGAATAGCTCAGAGAACTCAGGAAGACAGTTTACTTACTATTACTGGTTTATACAACTCAAGAACAGCTAAATGGAAGAGATGCATAGGGCAAGGTCTGGGGGAAGGAGCATGGAGCTTCCAGTCCCTTCCCAGGTGTACTACCCTCCCAGCACCTCAGTGCGCTCATCAACCCAGAAACTCTCCAAACAGCATGTTTTAGGAGTTGTATGGAGATTTCGTTGTGTAGGCATAATTGATTAAATCATTGGTAATTAAACCCAACCTCCAGCCCCTCGCCCCTCCCTAGAGGTTGGGGAGTGGGGCTGAAAAGTCTAACCTTCTAATCATATTGTTGCTTCCTCTGGCAATCAGTCCCATCCTGAGGCTCCCTTTGGGCTCACCAAGAGTCATCTCATTAGCATAGACTCTGGTATGTTTGAATGAGGCTTATTATATATAACAAAAAAATCTTCCTCACACTTCAATCAGGAAATTCCAAGGGTTTTAGAAGCTCTATCAGCAACCCAGAAGGAAGACCAAATATAGGCATGCTTCAAAGATGTTGTGGGTTCCATTCTAGACTATCTCAGTAAAGTGAATATCATAATTAAGTAAGTCACAAATATTTTTTGGTTTCCCAGTGCATATCAAAGTTATTTTTATGTATTTATTTATTTTTATTTGTTTTGAAATGGAGTCTCGCTCTGTCACACCCAGGCTGGAGTGCAGTGGCATGATCTTGGCTCACTGCAACCTCTGCCTCTCGGGTTCAAGCAATTCTCCCGCCTCAGTCTCCCAAGTAGCTGGGATTATAGGCACCCACCACCACGCCCAGCTATTTTTTTGTATTTTTAGTAGAGATGAGGTTTCACGATATTGGCCGTGCTGGTCTCAAACTTCTGGTCTCAGGTGATCCACCCACCTTGGCCTCCCAAAGTGCTGGGATTACAGGTGAGCCACCGCACCCGGGCTATTTTTATACTACACTGTAGTCTATAAAGTATAGAATGGCATTATGTCTAAAAAAGTCAATGTGCAGACTGTGAAAGAAAAATAAAATCTTGGGACCCCAAACTCAGCATGCCAAAGGGAAAAGTTAAGCTTGGGAACTGAGTCATGCAGAAACCACCTTCCCTTTGTTCCTAAACAGCTGCAATAAAAGAAGGTCACCGATCTCCCCAGGTAGCCTCCCTCACAAATTGCTCACAAGGAGATTCTTTGTGGGCCCCCAAATCTTGATCCAAAAGCAGAATTCTGTCGAATCTCGCCCTGACAATGTAAATTAACAGCTTATCTTCACAAATATGGAAAAAGACTAGAAATCACTCCTCCTCCCATCCTGAGACAAATGCATATCTGACTTCCTCTACTCCATTTACTTTATCCTATGTAAAATATAGATTTACTGAGTTTGAGACAAATGCAAAATTGACTGGTCCTCCACCCCCTCCTTTCACATGTAACATGTGGATTCAGTGAGTGCTAATCAAAGCCTCACAAAAATGTGGCCACTTACCTCACTACCTAACCTCTCCTTTTTTTCTTCCCCCCTTTCCCTCCTGCCACTCTTTCCCCTTTAAATATTGAAGTCTTCGGCTCAGGCCTGTAATCCCAGCACTTTGGGAGGCTGAGGTGGGTGGATCACGAGGTCAAAAGATCATGACCATCCTGGACAACACGGTGAAACCCCATCTCTACGAAAAATACAAAAATTAGCTGGACGTGGTTGTGCGCGCCTGTAGTCCCAGCTACTCAGGAGGCTGAGGCAGGAGAATCGCTTGAACCCAGGAAGCGGAGGTTGCAGTGAGCCGAGATCATACCACTGCTCTCCAGCCTGGCAACAGAGCAAGACTCTGTCTCAAAAAAAATAAAAAAATAAAAAATATATTGAAGTCCTCAAAACCTTCTTTAGAAAAAGCACAGGCCACAGATCCTACTGTAACTTGTGTCTCTTTTTCCCAGGCACGCCTTCAAACTTCACTAAATAAACCTCTAATTTGATTGATATCTGTCTCAGACACTTTTTTGGTTTATAGTACCTTAATTTAAAAATACTTTATGGCCAGGTGCGGTGGCTCACGCCTGTACTCCCAGCACTTTGGGAGGCCAAGGCGGGCAGATCACAAGGTCAGGAAATCAACGCCATCCTGGCTAACACGGTGAAACCCCGTCTCTACTAAAAACTACGAAAAATTAGCTGGGCGTGGTGGCAGGCGCCTGTAGTCCCAGCTACTCGGGAGGCTGAGGCAGGAGAATGGCATGAACCCAGGAGGCGGAGCTTGCAGTGAGCCAAGATCCCGCCACTGCACTCCAGCCTGGGCGACAGAGTGAGACTCCATCTCAAAATAAATAAATAAATAAATAAAAATAAAAAATAAAAATAAAAATATTTTATTGGCTGGATGCAGTGGCTCACGCCTGTAATCCCAGCACTTTGGGAGGCCAAGGCAGGCAGATCACAAGGTCAGGAGTTCAAGACCAGCCTGACCAACATGGTGAAAACCCATCTCTACTAAAAATACAAAAATTAGCTAGGCACGGTGGCACGCACCTATAATCCCAGCTACTCGGGAGGCTGAGACAGGAGAATCTCTTGAACCCAGGAGGCGGAGTTGCAGTAAGTGAGATCACACCTTTGCACTCCAGCCTGGGCAAGAAGAGCGAGACTGTCTCCTAAAAAAAAAAAATACGTGTATATATATATATATATATATGTATTTTTTTAATTGATAAAAAATGCTAAGGAGCCTTCAGTGAGTCATAATCTTTTTGCTGGTGCGCGGGGGGGTGGGGGGGTCTTACCTCCATGTTGATGGCTGCTGACTCATTAGTGAGGTAGTTGCTGAGGGCTGGGGTGGCTGCGGCAATTTCTTAAAATAAAACAACAATGAAGTTTGCAACATCAAGTGATTCTTCCCTTCATTATAAGTTTCTCTGTAGCATGTGATGCTGTTCAACACCATTTTTTTAACTTTTATTTTAAGTTAAGGGGTACATGTGCAGGTTTGTTAGATAAGTAAACTTGTGTCATGGGGGTTTGTTGTACAGATTATTTTGTCACCCAGGTATTAAGACTAGTACCTATTAGTTATTTTTCCTGATCCTCTCCCTCCCCCAACTCTCCACCATCTGATAAGCCCCAGCGTGTGTCGTTTCATTCTATGTGCCCATGTGTTTAACAGCATTTTACCCAGAGTAGAACTGCTTTCAGAATTGGAGTCAATTCTCTCAAACCCTGCTGCTGCTTTATCAACTACATTTATGTTATATTGTAAATCCTTTGTTATCATTTCAACAATATTCACAGCATCTTCACCAGGAGGAGATTTCATCTCAGGAAACCACTTTCTTTGTCCATCGAAAACAAGCAACTCCTCAACCGTTCAAGTTTTGCAGCAATTCAGTCACATCTCCAGACTCCACTTTAATTCTAGTTGTCTTGCTGTTTCCACCACATCTGCAGTGACTTCCTCCACATCTGCAGTGACTTCCTCCACTGAAGTCTTGAACCCCTCCAAGTCACCTATGAGAGTTGGAAGCAACTTGTTCCAAATTCCTGTTGATGTTGATATTTTAATCTCCTCCCACAAATCACAAATGTTCTAAATGGCATCTAGAATGGTGAATTCTTTCTAGATGTTTTTCAATTTACTTTGCCCAGATCCATCAGAATAATCACCATCTACAGAAATGATAATAGCCTTATGAAATGCATTTCTTAAATAATAAGACTTGAAAGTCAAAATTACATCTTGACCCATGGGCTGCAGAATGCGTGTTGTGTTAGCAGGCATGAACACAAACATTCATCTCCTTGTATACCTCCATCAGAGCTCTTGGGTGACTACTTGCATTGTCAGTGAGCAGTAATATTTTGAAAGGAATCTTTTCTTTTTGAGCAGTAGGTCTCAACAGCGGGCTTAAAATACTTGGTAAAGCACATTATATAAACAGATGTGCTGTCATCGAGGCTTTGTTGTTCCATTGATACAGCACACGCAGAGTAGCTCTAGCATAATTCTTAAGGCCCCTAGGACTTTCAGAATGGCAAATGAGCACTGGCTTCAACTTAAGGTCACAAGCTGCACTAGCCTCTAACAAGAGTCAGCCTGTCCTTTGAAGCAATGAAGCCAGGTACTGACTTCTTTCTAGTTATAAAAGTCCTATATGGCATCTTCTTCCAATAGAATGCTGTTTTATGGACATTGAAAATCTGTTTAGGGTAGCCACCTTCATCAGTGATCTCAGCTAGGTCTTCTGGATAACTTGCTGCAGCTTGTACGTCAGCACTTGTGGCTTCATCTTGTGTTTTGTGTTATGGAGATGGCCTCTTTCCTTAAACCTCACGGACCAACTTCTGCTGGCTTTGAATCTTTTTTCTGCAGCTTCTTCACCTCTCTCAGCCTTTACAGAATGGAAGAGGGCCAGAGCCGTGCTCTGGATGAGGCTTTGCCTTAAGAGAATGTTGTGGCTGGTGTGATCTTCTATTCAGATCACTAAAACTTTCTCCATATCACCAATAAGCCTGTTCCACTTTCTTATCATTCATGTGTTTACAGGAGTAGCACTTCTAATTCCCGTCAAGACCTTTTCCTTTGCATTCACAACTTGGCTGTCTGGAGCAAGAGGCCTAGCTTTCAGGCTGTCTTGGCTTTCGACAAGCCCTCCTTACTAAGCTTAATCATTTTTAGCTTTTGATTTAAAGTGAGAGATGTCCAACACATCATTTCACTTGAACACTTAGAGGTCATTGTAGGATTACTAATTGGCCTCTCAGAGAAAAGGGAGGACTAGGGAGAGGGAAAGAGCTGGGGGAATGGCTGATAGGTAGAAGTCAGAACACATACAACATTTATGGATTAAGTTCACCATCTTATATGGACATGGCTCATGGCATCCCAAAACAATTAAAATGGTTACATTAAAGATCACTAGGCAAAGATCACCAAAACAGGTATAATAATAAAGTTTGAAATATTACAAGAATTACCAAATTTGACACAGAGACACAAAGCGAACACATGCTGTTGAAAAATGACACTGATACACTTGTTTGACACAGGGTTGCCACAAACTTCAATTTGTAAAAAACCCAATATTTGCAGAGCATAATAAAGTGAAATGCAATAAACTGAGGTATGCCTATACATAGTTCCAATCAGATCACAGTATCACAGGGGAAATGGAGATTTTCTGTTCTATCTTGGCAATTTTTCTGTAAATCTAAAAACTACTCCTAAATAAAATGTTATTGGCATGTAGAATGAACACGTGTAGAGATCTAATATCCATGTGACAGCTTTATAGTTAATAATGTGTTCAGGATTTTGGCTTAAAGAATAGATTTTAGGTGCTCTTGCCATACACCAAAAAAAGGGTAATTATGTGAGATGATGAATACATTGATTTGTTTGACTATAGTAACTATTTTACTATGTGGAAACAACATGTGGTACACCTTAAAAATATAAAAAAGTAAAAAGTTATTACATTTTGAAAATCTAATAAGGAAAAAGAAAATCTTCAGTGGTTCTTGTACTTCTAAATCCAAGTCCCTTGTCAAGAAGCACCACCTTCGTGAGCTGCCCCTGCCAACTACTATAGACTCATCAACTTGATAACCCCCTTTGTGTTCTGCACCCCAGTCACTTCTCCAAATATGTCCTGCTCCTACCTGCCTCTGCCTTTCTCTGTGCCTGGAATACCCCTTCTCTCCACCCAGTACCTGCACCCACGGATTCACACCAATGGGTAAAAACCTTTGGCCTCCCTCAGGGTTGTCCTGGGTAGCCAGAAGCTTCATGAACAGGGAACCCGGTAGTTCAGAATGTTCTCCCTGAGGTGACATGCTTTCTCCTAACCTCTGAGGCCCTGGGAGGGAAGAGGCAAGGCTAGTTCCCCTTCACATTTCTCTAGATGGCTGAACCCCAGCCTCAGCCAAGCTGGTAACCTTCCTGCTGTGCTGCAGATGTGCACGGTGTTCCTGCCAAAGTTCTCTCCTGCGCGGTACTGGCTGCTCACACGGGGACAATCAAGTGCTCCAGGGACCTGTGGCTCTGGCAATTGTGAAATGTGGAGGTGGGAGGGAGGGATTAGAAGAAATGCTTAGAGAAGATCATTCCTAAGGGGGGCCAAAACCAGAGACCAGGGCAGCAAGAATGGAGAGACTTGGGAAGCCTACTTCTTATCTGTCTTAGTCCATTTGCACTACTATAAAGGCATACCCGAGGCTGGGTAATTTACAAAGAGAAGAGATTTATTTGGTTCACGGTTCTGCAAGCTGTACAAGAAGCACGATGCTGGCATCTGCTTCAGGAAACTTCCACATGGTGGAAGGGAAAGGGGAGAGCATCATCTGGTGAGAGGTGGAAACAGAGAGAAAGAAGTTCCAGGCTCTTTTTAATCAGATCTCATGAGAACTAACAGAGAACTCATTCATTATCCCTAGGATGGCATCAAGCCATTTATGAGGGATCCACCCCCATGACCCAAACACCTCTCGCCAGGCCCACCCCCAACATTGGGGATCAAATTTCAACATGAGATTTGGAGGTGACAAATATCCAAACTATATCAGTACCACTCACCCAGGCTACGGAACAGAATGACTGGTGGGAACACTAAAAAAGACAGGGCCCAGCAAAAGAAGAAAAGAGAATTCTGTAAAATGGCTTAGGCCTGGGGATGGCCCCTGGTTTTGATCTGCAATGCATTCTCTTATGATTCCCTAAAAGGGGCTTTGGCATGCCTTGGGGACATGTAGTCACAGCTGGAGGAACCCTTGCTGCTCCACTCCCTAGGCCTGAAGACTAAGAAGGTGCAGCAGCCCAGGCTGGATCCTCAACGTCAGCCCAATGTGGGTCCCTCCGCCAGCCAGAGTATCTAGATATAGTTAATCATGGTTCAGTTCAGATCTAAATGACCTGCCTGGATCAGATGCTGTTTTCCATCCTTACAGCCACAGATCATTTTCAGATGTCGCCCCCAATCCTTAGGCCTTATCAAGCACTGGACAATAATCGCTCCATGGGCCCTTGTCTAAGCTCACCTCTTACAGGTCAATTTCCTCGGTCACAGTCCAGACTGACTCAGAGATTGCCACACTTTACAAGGAAGGGCTAGAATCGATAGGATCGAATAGATGACTTCTGAGAACATTTCCAGCTCCAAAAATATGCTCTGAATTTCTCCATCAAATCTGCACAGCCAGCCTCTTAAATCCTCTTCTTCCTTCTCTGAATTCCTTATTTTCAATTCCTCTGCAGTTCTGCTGGAATTGAAATGAAACCCTCTTTCTTTCCGCCCAGGCCCCATGAGAAGAGAATATCTATGCTGGAAAATGAGGGTGGGCTATGGAGTAAATGCCAGGCCACCACACATAGAAGCTACTTTGCAAGTAACAGATTACATTTCCATCCACATCCCCCTCACTCACGTTCTGGCATAAAGCAGAGAGAGGATTAAAAATGGGAAGCTTCCATAAAGTCAGGCAAAATTAATTAGCTGCAATTTCCCTGCTGAGCTGCCAGGTAAATTTCACAGTGCAATCACTGCACGCTCCTTCATTAATGCAGCAATAATGCCTTATATGTCTTCAGTATCCCACTTTCCTCCATGCATGGGCAAGCCTAAGAATTAGGTACTAGCCCAGCTGCCAGGCTTGGCTTGGAATCTGGAGATAATCAAATTTTGTACAGCACTTCCCATAGAAAAACACAATAGCTGTTGTCTTTTTTCTTTTTCTCCCCCAATACTTACCTCTCCAGCTCTGGAAGGCGGTTAGACTCCTCTCCCTGGGCCCACAGTCAAGGTGCTGGTAGGCAGATGTAGGTCATTGGAAAGGCAGCAGAAAGCAGATGGGAGTCCCTGTTCTGCCGTAATTGACTGTAATTTGGGGCATTTTGCTCAGCCTCCCTGCATCTTAGTTTCCTCACCTATGAAACAGGAACAATAGCACCTACCTTGTGTGCCTCCAGGTATAAGATCACATAAGATTATGGAGGAGGCACTTTGCAAAGTCTACAGTGATTTAGTGACAAAGTATCATTAGCCAAAAAAACAGCATGAAGCTGAAGATTCAAATTATGTAGAAATTAGTGCTTGCTCCCCTACCACAGGCACCCGCGTCCCAGGCTGAGCCCTGCCTAAGTGTTGGGTCAGCATAAATACTGGCAGCTATGGACGTGGGTGGGTGTCCAGCCCCTATTGCCCACAGCTGATATTCAAGGAAGAACCACGTTATTGCTGAGCTAAGCTTTCTGACGTTGAGCCTTCACCAAAACTTCAATACTTACTCATTTACTGCTAATGGCTTATGGTGAGAAACACAGCAATCCTCTAATTAACCAGTAAGGTTTATAAGACAGCTTGCACATGAGCCTGGACAACCTCAAGAAGTGTAACACCATGGTCAAGTCAGAGTTATTATATATGGGGGTTGGAGCCAGGCCGGCTAAAGTTTGAATCCTGGCTCTGCAACTTCACCTTTCTGAAGCTTCCCCACCTTTAAATGGGAATCGTAATCCCTACCTCACTGGGTTGTTGGAATGTGCCTAGCACAGTACCTGACACACATTTAGTGCCCAGTTTAGTCCTGTATAGCACCAGCCACATGACATGCACTAAATTGCAGCTTATTGACTGGATGATTTTCATTTAAGAAAATTAGCCGGGTGCGGTGGCTCACGCCTGTAATCCCAGCACTTTGGGAGGCAGAGGCGGGTGGATCACAAGGTCAGGAGATAGAGACCAACCTGGCTAACACGGTGAAACCCCGTCTCTACTAAAAATACAAAAAAAATTAGACAGGCGCAGTGGCGGGTGCCTGTAGTCCCAGCTACTCAGGAGGCTGAGGCAGGAGAATGGTGTGAACCCGGGAGGCGGAGCTTGCAGAGAGCCGAGATAGCGCCATTGCACCCCAGCCTGGGCGACAGAGTGAGACTCCGCCTCAAAAAAAAAAAAAAAAAAAGAAAATTGAAGGTATGGGAAATAAACCTTGGAGGCAAGGTGTGAAAAAAGTAAGTGGATTGTGGTATTTGAATTACACTTAATCGCCCAGAAGGCACAGAAAGAAAAAAAAAAAAGGAAAGCTCAGAAAAAGAGCTTGGCCCCCAGTAGCAGCCTGTCACACACAAGGAGCAGCAGGGTGAACTGGAAAGAAGACACTGTCCACGCCTCCCTGAACACACTGCTGTAAGGAATGCCACTACCTACGTGTGGCTCACAGAGCCACAGGTATCAGAAAGGCTTCCCTGCGCCAAATGAAATCATCTCAGTAGCTCCAGCATGGCCCTGGGGCTGCCTTCTGCTGCTGCATAGAGCAATTCTACGTCTGCTTCCAATAGCCCTACAGAAAGCGCCTTAGAGTCAGATGGACATGGAGTAAATCTCATTTGGCCTTGGGCCAGTTACTTTACCCTCTTAAGACTTAACGCCTTTTCTGTAATATGGAGAATTTAGTAGAAAAGATACCTCATAAAGTCTTGTGCATAATGTGAACATCAATCCTAACTCATATTAAGCACTCACTAAATGCTAGTAATTTTTATAAAATGCAGAATTCAAAGGAGTAGATAGCTGCTGAAGTTTTGTACACAATGCAAGCATAAGTCTTAATGCATATTAAGTGCTCCATTAAACACTAGTAATATTTCTTCCTTTCAAACTCTCTGGTACTTATGATTCTGACACCTTTAACCATTCTGGTATTGTACCATAATGATCTATCTCTATATATATCAAAGACATGAAAGGGTTTAGTTTCCTCTTAAGTCACTGGCTGCTACCACTCAGTGTGCTTTGCTGACTCGGGCTCTCTATGCCTCTTCTAAATGGTACAGTGTCCAGGCTTTGTCTTCAAGCCTCCTCTACCTACCCCTGGATTTCAATAATATCCTCATGTCTAAGGCTCCCAACCATTTTAGTTCTAGCTCAGGCATTTCCATGGAACTCCAGACTCATATACCCAACAGTCTACTTGACATCTCAATTTGGATGTTGTGTAGTGAACAATTTAACCTTGCCCAACAAGAGGTCTGGTCTTTGCCCTTGGTTTCTGGGAGGTCATCTGTAACTACTTGGAATGTCATGCCTGACAGAAGCAGGACTCCCCCAGGAAGGATCACATCCTCAAAATAAGCTGCCCCTTGCTGGTTCACTGGATCCTTTCTGGTTCTAGCATGCAGCACTGTCTGTGTTGAGTTAGGAGCCACGTCAGCTGAGCGGCTCCTCTTAGGCAGGCTGGATACTGAGCACACTTCAGCCATCATCTCGTGCACCTGCTGCATGGAACGGCGGGGGGGGGGCGGGGGGGCAGAGCACTGACTCCCCTCCAGGAGATGGGCTTACTGTTCACAGCAAAGTCTAAAAACGGTTTGGTGGGCTTAGTTCCTGCCTAGGCAAAGGTCAGGGGTGAGAGCTGATCAGGGTAGTGGAACACACTGCTGACTGAGGAGTTCTTACTAAACAAAGAGAGAGCAAAATTAAGGCCATGGCCTGCCTTCCTCTTCACCCCTCTGTCCTCAAGGCCTGATGTCAAGATCCAAAAGTTTCCATAAGGTGAACAAAGAACCTGCAGCCACTCAAGACTTGGTCCTGCAGACAGGCCTGGATCCAATGTCCCTGGAAGATGGGAGGCTGCATACTTCAGGGGCATGGCCTACCTTCTACTCACTCACTAGGAAGAGACAGACGGGAGAAGCCGGCAGGCCCTGCATGCCAATTAGGAACAGCTGGAATGAAACCAGGTCAGGACAGGAATTGACAACAGCCACCTTGAATCCTCCCAACACCCCCCCACCTGCTCAGAAATATCTGAGCCCTGAGGGATTCCCTTCCATACAGGTAGCAGAGAGAAGGCCTATACAATGATGGAATAAAAGGCAACTCAAAAGATATTCCCTTTAGGAATAAAGGTAGCTGGAAAAGAATGAAAGAAAGAGATCTTTTTATTGCAGCGTTTTTTTCTTCTCTTATAAATCATTGTACCTGAAAGGTCACTCTGTGAGGTTGATGGCTTTCCTAAGAATGTGCTTTCTTTCTCTTCCCAATCATGGGGAGTGTGTGTCACAAGACAGAGAGGCCAATGTGGTCACTACTCACAAAATCTTAAATGGTGACCATGTGAATAGCTCAAAGGAAACTTTCCTAGGCTCTGAAGTTCTCACCTTTTTAAAAATTGAATTGACATGTTGCTCTGCTTTCAGGCGTCCCTCGCCAATTCTGTCTTTTGAAAAGAACTACGATATGGTTTGGCTCTGTGTCCCCATCCCAATCTCATGTGGAACTGTAATCCCCAGTGCTGGGGGAGAGACCTGGTAGGAGGTGATTGGATCACGGGGGTGGTTTCTAAGGGTTTAGCATCATCACCCTAGTGCTGTCTTATGATAGAGTTCTCACAAGATCTGGCTGTTTAAAGGTGTTTAGCACCTTCTCTCTCCCTCTTGCTCTCTCTCTCTCTCTCCTGCTCCACCATGGTAAGACATGCTTCTTCCCCTTTGCCTTCCGCCATGATTGTTAGTTTCCTGAGGCCTCCCCAACCATGCAGAACTGTGAGTCAATTAAACCTCTTTTCTTTATAAATTACCCAGTCTCATGTAGTTCTTTATAGCAGTGTGAGAACAAACTAATACAAATCCTGAGTGAGAGGCTGATTTTCTAGAGCATCTCAGGAGGCAGTGATTCTGGATCATCCATCCACATGCTCATCCTGTATCCACCCACCCATCTATCCATTCGTTCTTCCATCCACCTATCCATCCATCCATCCACCCACCCATGCATTTATCCATCCATCTACCCTTCCATCCATCCATCCATCCATTCCGGTATTCATCTGTTCTTGTGACAAAGATTGCCTTAGTGCCAGGCTCTGTCCTGTAAAGTAGGGATACGGCAGAAAACTCATAGACGTAATCCCTGGCATTATGGCACTGGCATTCAAACTGGGCAAAAAGAAGTAAGCTAGCGTAGTAGAATGATTTGTTAGAAATGTACTATAACCTGGATGTGAAACAGCTGTGTTTTATTCCGCCTCAAATACAGCCAGAACTTTTGGTCCCAAAGGCATGGGCTTCCCTTACTTGCTAGGTGAGTATGTGAGTAAGCTTTTGTTCTCAAAAACCCAGGTGAGTGGTGCCATGCTGGTCACTGAGGGCCACCCTTTAGACACTGTTTTCAGCCTGCACAGGTTTTTAAAGACACTGGATCTGTGCAGGTGGGAGACTTGGCATCCTGTGTTGATGTTAGCCACTTGCTTTCTGCAGACAGCTGGGTCCATGAAACTTCTCTATGCCTAATGAAGAGGAATTGGGCTGGCAACAGCTCGCAACCCTGGCTGCAGATCAGAATCACCTGGAACTTTAAGTCTCTATGCCTAGCCTGCACCCAGACCAATTAAATCAGGAAATCTAGAAGTGACAGTCAGTCAGCAGTTCTTAAAGTGCCCCAGGTGAATCCAATGGGAACAGCTGGTCAAAGGTGAAGAGTTTGCAGCTTTGAATGCTGCAGATTGAAGAAAAGTTTTGTTTCCAGATAAGTTGCAGGAGGAGAAGGGTTTGGGTTTCTGCTCCTAGTTGTAACCAGAACCCATTTCAGGCCCAACACTCCAAGGATGGCAAGGTCTCAGAACAAAGGAACAAAGCTTTTTTAGCCCGAGCTGCAGGCAGAGGAAAGGGCTGCTGCATGGGGCTTCAGGGTAGCCTTCTTGAGGAAGCCATGCCCTTAACAGGCAGAGCAAGGAGAGGAAAGAGGCAGTCAACATGGATCCTGTGAGCCTCAGAGCTCTTGTTTAGGGAGAGGCCAGAAGCGACCAGACCTGGCTTCCTCACGAGCTGAATCTCAGAGCTAGATTGTGTATCATTTAGAAAGAATAAAAAATATGTTACTTTTTGTGCCTTAAGCATCATGTAAGTACTTCATACCTTTTCCCCACTCAGCGGTCACACAGCGGGGCAGTGCTGTGAGGGAGAGAGGCCGAGCTGGCTAGTACCTCTCTCCTCCTACCATGGCCCCTCTGCCACCTATACCTGCCTTGCTCAGCTCGCAGCCATGCCACACCCTCCCCCTGACAGGACATATCCTCTGGGCAAGGGCTGGCAATGACACAGAGGCCTCCATGAGGACCCCCAGGGACAGGGACACTTTCACCCTCCCTGGGAAGTGATAGGTTGGGACCCTGGGCTCCAGGCAGCCCCATCCTCTCAGGGCCATAAGAGCTCTTCCTCATACTATGACTCCCAGGAGTAGTGATGCTTCCTCAGGCTCCCTCCCTCCTACATTCTTGCCCCTTGCCCATCCCATCCCAGAACAAGGAATGTGAATGCTTCTGAACTACTTGTCCAGCCCCTCTTTCTTCTGCAAACAGGCCTCTATCCCATCCCTCTGAATTTCTCCTCTTGGCAGCAAGTCCCACACCCCAGTTTTCTCCTGAAGCAGATGGCTTTAAGAACCTTTCCTTGCTTTCTATTGGGACTACTGACTGTATTATATAGAAATAAAATACTGTGAGCTTGTTCTCCCTGTTGGCACAGCCAACAAGGACCAGCCAGCAGCTTTGTAAATGGCTCCATTAAATCCCAGCTCTGTAGTGGGGCAAAGACTCCCATAGCCCAGTGCTTCTCAGCCTCAGCTACAATCATTATCATCTCAACAGGTTTGAAAATGTGAGATGCCTGGGCCCCCACTCCCCAGAGATTGTTTTAATTAGTCTTTAATTAGTCTGGAGGAGGTACAGAGAGCTCACCATCAGGCTTGAGTTTTAAGCCCTCCCAGATGGTGCTAACGTGTGGCCAGTGTTGACAGCCACTGCAGTGGAGCCCACCAGGGTCTAATTTGCCAAAAGTCCTGCCTCGTTATTCAAGGCAGCTTCTCTGAAGGACCATGGTCAGGGATGGGACAAGATGAAATAAAGCCTTGTCACTTATTACCCTCCAGGGGGTCTGCAGGTTGCTGCCTGGTGCTCCCACTGCCTCCAAATTCCCCTCCAGGTGGCATAGGCACTGCTGGGGTCACCCTCTGTCGATGAAAAGACATATTCCAAGATAACTTGTGTTTGCCTGGTGAACTTGGTGGACCTCTCAATCAGTGAACTTTTTCTGAGCACACAGGATGTAGGGAGTAAAGTTGACATCAGACCCAGTTCTGGCCCTTCCTCAAAGAGTCTCTTGTCCAGCTGGAGAGATAAGCATATGACCCAGGGCTGACCTGTGAGCAATGGCCTGGGAATACAGGGGACGTTCAGGGAAGGGAATGGACAGAGTGTGCTGCACTGGAGACAGCAAGATCAGAGTCCTGACTGGCTTAAGTGAATATGGAAGAGGAAGGAGTGAGGGAGGGCATCCTGAAAAGGGCCCTTAGGAAAGCCTAAGGGCAAGAAAATGTGTAACTGTATGAGGAAAAGAAGATGGGAAAGATGGAGAGAGAAAAATGGTTTCGTGGTCCGTCCCCTTCCCACTAACCCTGCTGCCACCCCCTTAACTAAGGTCCCTGTCACCTAATCCCTGGGGTTTTGCATCTGCCGCCTCCTTCCTGTCTAACCCCTACAGCTAAGGAAGGGGAGTAGAGGGTGACACCCATTTGCTGGAGCATAATCCAAACTATCACCTATCACATCACAGTCAACCATCTTAAGAATTCCTCAGTATCGACTAACTTTTAGACCACGCACAAATGCCCCAACATGTTTCACAGGTGGTCTTTTTATAGTCGGTTTGTTTAAATCAGGATCCAAACAATGTCCACACATTGCACTCAGTGATCTGTCTCTTGTTTTTTTTCACCTAAAAGTTACTGCCCCACCTCACCCCCCTTTTTCCATGCCATTTCTTTTATGAAAAAGTGGAGTCATTTGTCATATAAAGTTGTTCAAGTAAATTAAAATGGGGGCCAAGCCTGAAGAATCCCTGCGGAGACAAAACCAGTTAGGCCTTATAAGTGACTCTAACCTTGCTTGATTTGCAAATATAAGCAAAATTTAACTTGGGCTATTTCTTGTAAATGCCTACATGAAAGAAAAACAAAACTGAAGCTCAACGAATCAGAAACAGCCAAAAACTTAACAATTGTTATGAGGGACTTTCCAGTGGGATAGACCAAACAAGGCAACTGTCCAACTAACCCATCAAACATTTTCTTGGCTTTACTTCCATGTGCCTGTGAAAGCCCCTCCCTTGGTGGAGCTGCCCAGAACCACTTCTGGTTTGAAGCTGCCTAATTCATGAATCATTATTTGCTCAAATAAACTCTAAAAATTTTATTGTGCCTCAGTTTACCTTTTTAACAGACTTTTCCTCATTCTGAGTTTGGCTCACTACATCCTTTTATGAGGTTTAATTAAAAAATAAAATAAAATAAAAACTTAGATAATCGGCCAGGCATGTTGGCTCACACTTGTAATCCCAGTACTTAGGAAGGCTGAGGCGGGCAGATTGCTTGAGCCCAAGAGTTTGAGACCAGCCTGGGCCATCTCTACCAAAAGAAATACAGAAGTTAGCAGGGCATGGTGGCACGTACTTGGTAGTCCCAGCTACTCAGAGGGACTGAGGTGGGAGGATCATCTGAGCCCAGGAAGTTGAGGCTGCAGTGAGCTGAGATCGCACCACTGCACTCCAGCCTGGGCAACAGTGAGACCTCGTCTCAAAAAAAAAAAAAAAAAACTTGGAAACTCACAGGCAGGGAGACCTACCTGAGACATATCTTTGAGAGGAATAGAATAAACAAAACATTAGCTTCGTTTTCTTATGCTGATCCTCAACTTGTAGTTTGAAGTAAGAGGATGCAGCTACGTCTGTTCCAAGCAGATTTTGGGAATGTTCCAGACTTTCAGAATGTGGCAAGAAGAGTAGTGAGTGAGAACAAAGGACACATCAGAGAGGAGGGAAATGACACTGAAGTTTGAACCAGCTCAGGAGAGGTGAAAAAAACTTACACGTGAAAGAGGATTTTCCAGTCACCCATCCCTCTGCAGCCTTTCCTGGGTAAAGTCAAAGCCTGGCACAGCCACAGCCAATGGCCTGCACTGCCCCCTGCAGGCAGAAATCCTTCAGCAGTGACGATGGACTTCCCCTAGTTCCCCGCACAGCTTTGCAGGGAGCAAGCCTGTCGTGGGAATGGTTTCCAGAACTCCTCCCCAGGCCACTCATCTGACACCCTCGCCTGCAGGTACAGGACCACCAGTTCTGTCGCCCTAGGAACGTGTCCCACTGTACCTGGCACCAGAAGTAAATGGGAATGGAGGGGAAAAAAGGCTTAGAATATACAGAGCCAGAAGTTAAATCTGTGAAAAAATCTTTAAGTCATCAAATATATACAATTAATTCCACAATCTGGAATTCTCACTGGCATTTAGTCAAAATGGAAGTTCTCGACTCTCAAGAATATATTCAAGAACACAGAGTATTCAGCTGTAAATGCAACAATTTTTTCTTTGTTGATGGGAATTGGGTGAAATATGATCTTTCAGATTTGCTGTTTGAAAAGTACAATCCTGTAGCAACACTACAAACAATGAGTAGTCAGTATCTGAAGTTGTATGGCTTCAGAATCACATACAACGATCAATAATAAAACAAAAGTTTATCAACTCAGAGAAAAGGTTGGCTTATCTTTTTAATTTTTTATATGAAAAATATTATAAAATTGCAATATATGAAGAGATGACTACAGCATATGAAGCCAAAAAAAAGAAAAAGAAAAACTGTAGGAAGATGAAAGTTCTTATAGAGATGTGTTAGGAAGTTATTTTGTAAAAAATACAATGTCATCGTTCTGGGTTTGGGGATGTTTGTGGTATTTGGCGCTTGTTCAGTTGGTGTTTTGTGTTTTCTTTTCATATTTTAAATAAATGTTCACTTTTACACCAAAAAAAGAAAACTTAAGTAGAAAAAATGGAAATTATAAAATAGACGAATTAAGGAGTGATAATTAGCTTTGCACAGTTTGATTTAACAAAAAAAAAATCTTTTAAGTAGAGAGCGTTCTCCTAGGACATTTTAATTATGACTTCATAGACTGTTACTGCTTGAAAAGAACTTCGAGGTGATCTTATGCACTTTATGTCTCAGACAGCCCAGGGAACTAGGGCTGAGAAAAAGAACCAAGTCCCAAAGTCCCGCTGTGAGTTACTAGCACAACCAAAATTAGAAGCTAGGCCCCTGCCTCCCGACCACACGCGCCTGCCTCCCAGGGCTGGTTTGCAGCCGGTAGAGACGAGCATGGGCTTTTCCCAGGGATTAGATCCATCGCTTACTCTGAAACACACACATTGACAAAAGCTTTTCTCCACCTCTGCGGCACAGCTCTGTAAAGCCGGGTGCTCCACACGGAGCAAACTGACAGGCAGGCTTTTCCTTCCCAGCGTTGTTCTTAATCCGTCCACCGCACCCTCCTTACAGGCAGGAAGCTGAACTTCCCAGCTTTCTCCCTGCTGCTCAAGAGGCTGCCGTGGGAGATGCTGCGGGTGCCCCCTGCTGGCCAAACGGAATATCACAGTATCACAGGCCTGGCCGCCCCTCCTTTTTAGATAGACATAGACAGATTAGATAGATTAGATAGATGATAGATAGATGATAGATAGATAGATAGATAGATAGGTAGATAGATAGATAGATATAGATAGATAGGATAGATATAGATAGATGAATGATAGATATTGATTGATTGATTGATTGATTGATTGATTTTGGGCCAGTCCCCAGTGGTTGAAGATCCTTAGGTAAGATAGGGGACTAAAATGGGACAACTCTCCACACTAGAGGGCAAAGGAAAGGTTCCATGAGAGTCGTGTTCATGCTCAATTGAGATTATGGCAATCAGGATTCCATCCACAAGATCTTGAAAGGACGAAGCTGAGGCTGTGCAGCCCAGAACAGTGCCTTGAAATTTCACGTGCATAGACATCACCTGGGAATCTGGTGAAAATCCAGATTCTGGTAAGCTAGGCCTAGGGGAGAGCCTAGGATCCTGCATTTCTAACAAGCCCCTAGGTGATGCTGCTGGTCCAAGCACAAGACTTGGAGTAGCAAGATTCTAGATGGAAGTGCGTGGACTTTGGAGTCAGACCAAATTGTGTGAACCTCAATTTTTCCACTTGCTAGCTGTGTGGTTCCAGACAAGGTCCTTAAATATACTGAACCTTGAATTCCACATATGAAAATGGGCATGATCCCACCTACCTCACTGCACTTTTGTGTGGACTGTATAGATAGCATATAAAGGTGCCTTGTGTGGTATCTGGCATGTAGTGGACATTCAGTAAGTGGTGACTGTCACCATCATATGGATTTTTCCCAATAGGTTCATGGCTTCAGCAACTCACTGCCAGTGGATACTAGATATGGATACTGATTTACACAAAAGTGTAAATCACAGCATCTCAAGCTTATGGATGTCATAGTTTCATTTATTAGTCCCTGGCTGCCAAGGTTGGACCCACCTTTAGCTACAAACCCAGAGGCTTACAGTCAGTTTAGAGCTGAATCCTTAGCAGCGGTTTCAGTCACCCCTGATGAATGCACGTCTTCTCTCACATCCAAACTAGAAAGACACAGAAGAAATAAGATTGATGCCTTGTCACCACACTGGAGGTGAGCTGTAATTCACATGTGTGCTGGGCAGACAATGAAACAAGACCTGCAGATAAATCATCTAAGAGCACATAGGGAAAGACTGGATGCTGTGGAGCCGGAGGGTCTGGGTTCATGCACTAGCATCAGTATTCTGTAACTGAGCAACCTCAACCAGTTTGGTAAGCTATTTGAGCCTCAGTTTCCTCATCTGTAAAGTGAGATGATGATGATAATACATCCAGATTAGACACAGAATGTGAAGTGCTTTGAAAATGATCATCCCCCTTCCCTTGGCTCCTCTTGTGTGAGAGAGCTTGGAATTTAAGATAAATGGAGAGCCTTTCTCTACTGTTAGCTCTGTATCCATGGATCCAGGAAGTTAGAGGCAGCAGATGTTACAGAAACGTCCATTTGTAAATAAAACAGAGTGCAATGTATTCCACAGTCAAAGAGTTTAGGTCCGTAGTGTTGAAGGCCTATGTCCACATCTGGATGACATTTTGAAGCAAAGAGTGACTGAAACAACCTAGGTTTCTAATCTCTATATTAGATTAGATTAGAACTCTAATCTCCATATTAGATTAGAACTCTAATCTCCATATTAGAGTGCATACGATCCTTCTGTACTGGCGGCCAGCCCTCTCCAGCTCACCCCTGACTCCAACCCCAGTAATGCCAAACTCCTGCAGCTCCCCAAGAGGGTGCCTTTTCACAACTCTGTGCCTGTTCACATGCCACTCACTTTCCCCCTTCCTCAATCCTCGCCAAACTTGTGACTCAAGGACTAGGCAGGGCTCTTTGTTGCAACAGAAAGAGGAAGGCCGAGAAAGAACTCACAGTATTACCGGAAAGCCTAGAGGAAGCAGCTAGATAGGTGGACGGGATGAAGAAAAGCACAGTCAGAACCACAAGCAAGACTATAGCGCAGAACCCTCCAGGGATGAACCCTCTGCCACCACCTCCAAGCACCTGAAGCCAGCAATGTATGCACTGCCAATGCCATGGCCCTGCAGGCTGAGCCTGCTCCTGCGCTGCCACCATCAGCAATGCTCCATGAGCATCACGGTAGAACCAAGCCTTCCCTGACACACCTTCCTCCGTGTGTCACACACACACGAGTCCTTGAACTGTTCTCCCAGCACCCCTTAAACTTAATCACATGGTTTCGTATTTTTCTAAGTTTCTATGACTGCCTCAGGACAAAGCTCCCCAAAGCCGACCTTGAGAGGAGGAGTCATGTCACGCACATGTGATTTATGAAGGACGTTCTCCCAGGGAAGATGGTGAGGGAGCCGGGGGCAGGGAAGTGGGTAGGACAAGAAGAGGAGGAAGCCAAGCCAGGGAATGATCTCAAGCAAAATTGAAGCAGAAGGTGTCTTCAGACTGACCCCCCAGGGGAACTCAAGAGGGTAAGCTATGCCTCAGCATTGTCCCAACCCAAGGCAAGTATCTGGGCTTCCAGACCCCGTACCTGAATGGCTTGTCTTCATGGCAGCCAGGGCTGGAGAAGGAGGGTGGAAACATAAACTCTGAGACGCCTCCTTGCAAAGTGACTCCATTACCCTAGAACAGTCCTCTGAGGAGAAGCAGCAGCCGTGGGCTATTGAAAGTGCCGTGTCAGTAGCAGCAAGGGCAAAACAGGCTACTGGGGATGGGGCAGAGCCATGAGGCCGTCTGCTCCCATGAGCCCACTAGACCCCACCAGCGCTGCCTGTGTATCTAATTCACCTCTATGTTCCCGGCACCCAGCACTGGGCAGGAGCTTAGCAGGCCACCAGAAAGTGTCCCAAAAGTGAATAAAACTGTCTAGGTGGGGCATATGGTTTTCAGGGTGTAAAATGAAGCAAACGGAACAATGACAGACCCGAACAGCGGGAAACCAGGCAAGGGTAAGGGCATTCCTATCTGGGTTTACATTCTCTTCATTATTGACAAGTTCTGACCAGTGTGTCTGAGGTCAGAGGCTCCCTGTGATTAGAAAGGATCTGGTGGAGTCTCCTGTCCCTGCTCAATGAACTCTCATCTCCAGAGCAGTGAACATGCTTTGGATTTCTCAGACACAGCAGCACTACAACGTCTCATCCCCCTGGGAAGAGGATTGAAGCTGGAGCTAATGCAAGTGACTTTCAGAAGTCACATAAAACACCCAAAGGATACGGGCGAGTGGCTGCAGTGGCTCACTTCTCCGCACCTGCCAGCAAGTGGAAGGCAGGACTGGACAGACTCATAAGCCGCTGACAGATGCACCTTCAGGGACAGCGCCAGAGGAATTCATCCAGGCAGCCTGTGGAGGGAGGGCTAATTTTAGTCCCGTGCCTTGGAATTGGCCAAACCCAGAGAAAGCGCAGAACCCAGAGGCAATTTCCCGCTCCCATTTTAGAGTGAAGAAGCAGAGTGGAGGGATTTGGCAAAGATCTGTTTGGGGATGCTAAAATGTTCTGAGTCCTTTCAGTCTGAGGCATAGAGGTTGGCCTAGGAGTGTGATAGACCATCAATAGAGGGGTCCACCAAGCAAGGCCCTCCTGTAGGTCACCATGATCAGTCGTGCCATCTGTAGTTCAGTACTTACCACCAGCATTGGCCTCTGGAGTTGAGGACTGCTCTAGTGGTGAATTGTAGGTGGCAACTCAGCTGGGCCCTGGTACTGAGAAATGTGGTGAAAATTGATTCTGGATGTTTCTGTGCAGGTGTTTCTGGATGAGATTAACATTTAAATAGATGGACCTTGAGTTAAACAGATCACCTTGCATCATATGGGTAGGCCTCATTGGCTCAGGTGAAGACCTGGATAGAAAAAAAGACTAACTTCCCTGGAGCAAGAGAGAATCTGCAGCAGAGGCCTGCGGACTAGACTGCAACATCAGCATCTCCCTGCATCTCCAGACACACACACACACACACACACACACACACACACACACACGCACAGAAACACAGACACACACAGACACTCACAGACGGAGACACTCACACAGACACACACAGACACACACACACAGACACGCACACACAGACACACACGGAGACACACAGACACACACAGACACAGAGACACTCACACATGGAGACACTCACACAGACACACAGACACACACATATGGAGACACTCACACAGACAGACACAGAGACACACACGGAGACACACAGACACAGACACACAGAGACACACACACGGAGACACACAGACACACACAGACACAGAGACAGACAGACACACAGACACACACACACACACAAACACACAGACACACAGACACACAGACACGGAGACATTCAGATACACACAGACACAGACACACACGGAGACACTCACACAAAGACACACAGACACAGAGACACACAGACACACACAGAGACACACATAGACATGGACACACACACACGGAGACACATAGATACAGAGACACTCACACAGACACAGACACACACGCACACGGAGACACACAGACACAGAGACACTCACACAGACACACACAGACACAGACACACACACAGAGATGCTCACACAGACACAGACACACAGAGACTCTCACACAGACACAGAGACACACACACGGAGACACAAAGACACAGACACACAGACACAGACACAGGCACACACACAGAGACACACAGACACAGTCACACACACACACAGAGACACTCACACACACACACAGACACACACACACAGAAAGACATACACAGACAGAGATACACACAGAGAACACACACAGAAAGACACACGCCAACCTGATGGCCCATCCTGGGTTAGCTTCCATAGTCACGTGAGTCAATTGCATAAGTAAATCTCTTGTATAGGTGTATCTGTCTGTACATATGTGTGCATATGTTTACACACACCCCCCATTGGTTCTGGTTCTCTGGAGAACCTTAATACACTGCTATCAACAAAATCCCCAGCCCCTGCTTCCTGGAGACCACAAGACCTGGGCCTGGCCACTTGAACAGCCAGCAATGTAGGAGAGGCAGATGCAGGTTGGTGGGTCGGATCCCACGTGATAGAGCACCCGGCCGGAGGTGTTAGAGGTTTCCAATGTGGCTCACCAGGCAGAGGACTGTGCCAAGGACTCTTGGGGAGGCCCCAACAAGTGAAGAGCCTGACAGAGAGACCAGGTACAGCACATTTCTAGAGCCTGTGGCCAGGATGACGCCGGTGTCAAAGAGCCAGAGGATACACACCTGGCAGGATGGCGTCAGAAGAGGCAGGCACAGAGGCCATCTAGGTGATGTCTAGCGGAAGTCTAGCCTAGAAGGAACCTAGTAGGAACCTGTCCAGTAGCAACCTGCTACTGATGCCACTAGCAGGTCCTCCTATCCTGGCACTGTGGGTGACCAGCAAGGTGTCCTACTCACTTTGGGCACAAGCTGCCTCTCAGAGGAAGGCTCAATACCAGCAGGGCCATGGCCATGGGCTGAGGTCTTCCATCCCTCAGTTTGCTCTCTTTCCAAGGGCTCTTATTACTTTCAACGCATTAACACATCATGGTTTCACAAAGTGCAGTGATGGCTGCAAAGGACACTCAGAGAGACTGACAGCTCAAAACCCCAGAGGCTCGTGGAGAGCAGGCCTTGTGAGGAGGTGCCACCATGCTCTGAATGTTTTGGGTCCTTGACCAGCAATCAAGCCAAAGGGCCAAGATGCTTTCCGAAGGGCTCTGGTCCTCCAGAACACAGACGACCCACGGTCACAGTGGGAGAAGGGACGGTGCTACAAGGACACAGAAAGGGTGGGAGGCGAGAGCAGGCAGGGCTCCAGGAGGGGCCTGGGAAGAGGGGATGAGAAACACTGGAGCCAGTGCAGTGCTAGTGACAGCCCTGCAGGCCAAGGACTAAATCAGGGACTTGAGGGACTCAGAACAATTCCCCAGGACCCTAGGCTGTCAGCAAGGGCAAGGCAGGACCAGGGGACAGGCTGGGTGACGACAGGAAGAGGAGGGGCCTTGTCTGGTGCTCCACTGGGCCTATTCTGGCACGCGCACACACATACACACAGACACACACAGACACAGACACACAGACACACATGGAGACACTCATACAGACACAGGCACACAGACACAGACACACACACGGAGACACACAGACACAGATACACAGACACTCACATAGACACAGACACACAGAAACACCCAGACACAGACACACACAGACACACACACAGAAACACCCACACAGACACAGACACACACAGAAACACACAGAGTTACAGATACACACAGAGAACACACACAGATGCACACAGATATACAGAGAAACACACAGAGGACACACACACAGAGTTACAGATACACGCAGAGAACACACACAGATGCACACAGATATATAGAGAAACACACAGAGGACACACACACAGATACATACAGAAACACACACATACACAGAGACATACACACAGGCACAGATACACAAACACATAGAGACACATAGACATACACACAGGCACAGACACACAAACACATAAAGACACACAGACATACACACAGGCACAGATACACAGACATACACACAGATACACACACTTCGACACATACAGATACAAACACACAGGCACAGATACACACACAAACACACAGACACACCTACACAGATACACATACAGGCACACACAAATACAGAGAACACATACTGACACAGACACACAGATATACACAAAGAACACACACACACAGACATACAGGCACAGATACACAAACACATAGAGACACAAAGACATACACACAGGCACAGATAGACACACAGACACACAGACACTCAGAGAGACACACAAACAAATCCACAAAAACACAGAAGCAGACACACAGATATACAAACACACAGATACACACACAAACACATACAGAGATACACAGACACACAGACACAGATAGACACAGATACATACACAGACACACACAGACACACACAGGCACACTGATACACACAGACATATACACACATACACACAGCCACAGATATGCACACAAGCACACATACAGACACACAGCACACACAGATATATACACACAGGCAGACAGACACAGATACACACAGAGACAGACACACAAAGACATGGAGACAGAGACACACACAAACACAAACACGGACACACGCATACTTCCTAATTTTTGCCCAAGACCTCCCCCGTTCAGAAATCTAGACATGAAGCATACATCAGGAATGTTTTTACAAGGAAACTAGATAACCTGCGGATCAAATTCTTACCTTTTTGAAATTTTTCTCAAACCTTTTTTTTAACCATAGAAAATTTCTAACATATTCACAAGTAGAAGTAAGTGCCATGAACCCCCAAGTACCCATCGCCCAGCTTCACAATTACCAATGCACAGTTGGGCTTTTAGTTCAAAGGCTGTAGTCCAAGTGTAAGTGACCTGTTTAGAAGACCACAAATTAGAAGAAACCAGTTCACCCTTGCCCACTGCAACTCTTGGGATAGAAAGAGACCCTCCAAGTTGGCAAATGAAAAAGAACTGGAGAAGAGAACAAGATAGTTATATTCTGCTGTACAGTGCCAAAAGGAGCCTGCACCTGGGGCCCTGCAGGCTGAGCCCTGAGAAGGGCATGCACGCCCAGCTTGGCCGGGGTCTGAGGGTAGACAGCAAGCCTTCCCAAATCCCCCACATCAAAGCAGAGGAGCGAAGCCCACGTGGAGGTACCCAAGGTACCTGTTCTCCCAAGTCAGTTCCTATACATCTGGATGGAGACAGTCCAGAAAGAAGACAAGCCCTTTCCCGGATGTCTTTGAAAGAGAGCACACCTGGAGGGCTCTGAAGCTGCGACAAGACTATGGGCTGGTACTATGTGAATCCTACGGCTGAGAGCTATAGGGGGAACCCTCTGTCAGGGTTCATCAGGGAAGCAGGACAGAACCCTAGGATCAGTGGACGGTGAGTAGGATAGAACCTCTCCTGAAAGGCAGACACCTGGCCAGCCCCATCACAGGCCAGGATAAGTTGTGAGTACCCCCCAGTGAAGTAAATCCACTTTAGGAAGAAGAGGGAGTAACAAATTGGCTGACATTAACCTGAAATAACCAAATTTTATTTTCATCAAAATGGGAAATTGGTATAAATTGGGTTCAAAAATCAATTGCATTTCTTGCACAGCTTCCATAGTTATGATGATTAAATGCCATAATCCTCACAAAGACATCACCCTATTCTCACTATCCAGTGCCCCACAGAAGAGGGCACTTGACCTTGGAAACATAGACACCCTATTTCCTTAAAATACACCAATGCAGAGGCCCACCCCATATCAATGGTATCACCATCTCTTGAGTCAGAACATTGTTGTTTGTTTGTTTGTTTGGATTATTCTAATGTGAGTATAACTGGAAACTGCTTTAGATCTTCCTGTTCACACCTGACATGTAATCCAGCAATGTACCGGCTACACAGACAAAGCAGACAACTGAAGATATTTTACCTCTTTGCGAAATTGTTTTCTATCCTTCTGTTCTTGCAAAGTTTCAAATGCAGCCATATCAGACTCAGCCTGAAACCCCAACTATAGTTAAAGTTCACCTCTCCCTTCTAATTTGCCAAAAATCACCTTAGTAGTTTCATCTCATGCTCCAATTAGCCAGTTAGGAAATGACAACAGTCATTTTGAATGGCTATCCCCTACTTCTGCAGAAACCATAAAACAACTACATGGAGAAACTGGACAGCTTTCTGGTAGGTGAAACCCAAAGCCTACATGTTCTCCTAGCAGCAGAGCCCCAACTTCCAGCCTGGATGGACTCGGGCAGGGACCGTGAACTACAGGTTCAGTTAAAAAACCACTAGGGAGGCCAAGACAAGAGAGCTCAGAGTGTGCTGACTTCAATTGTGTCCTTTTCTGAGGAATCTCACGAGTCTGTTGTTTACTTCATCTTTGGAGACACCAAAAGGTAAAGAATCTACTCACTCCATAGGGAGAGTGGGGGAAGCTGGAAGAAACGGAATCATCCTTTAATTAGAGACTATTCAAATGATCACAGCTAGAACAGAAATGTACCAAGAATGAGTTTATTGCTAAAAATGAAACCAAATGGGATACAAAGAAATGCATCAAAAGCAACATATCAAAGGGTGTCATAAAGGATGAGGTAGCGTGTCATCCCAGGGTTCAGTGACCACTGCCATGTCTGTCTCCCCAGGTATGGAGGGAAAGGTGAGGGTCACCTCGTGGTGGGGTCACGTAGACTCCACAGCAAAGTTTAAATGCTGGAGGTTTGGTGAGAGCTATGGCTTCTGCCTTCAAAGCAAGAGAAAGAGGCACATTAACTGATGTTCTGAGGAGACCTGGAAAGGTGATTGTGGTGGATGAAACAGGAGAATAGGCAGAGACACAACTTCTGAGTATCTGAGAGAACTCAAGTTTGGCAAGACAAGTTGGGACGCTGTGATATTATGATATAATAAGAAATATGTGTTTGGTCTCTTCCCCCAGTTCCTGAGACAGTGCTCCTAAACCTTTGTAGACAGTGATGCTAGGAGAATCTTTTCTCTAATATTTGGTCTCTGATGAGGGTTCCTGACACAGAGCTCCAAAGATCTTTGTAATTTCCTGGATGATAGGAGTACCTTTTGTTCTAACTCTTGGTGGGTTCCTGGATAGCCTCAGCATGGGGGCAGGTTGCCAGCAGAACCCACCATGTGATTAGAGGGTTGGAAATTTCAGTCCAACCTCTCAACCTCTGGGGAGGGAGAGGGGTTAAATATTGAGTTGATCACCAACGGCCAATGTTGTAATCAATTCATGCCTATGTAATGGAGCCTCCATAAAAATCCAAAAGGACAAGGTTCAAAGAGCTCCTGGAGTGATGAACACATGGAGGTACCTGGAGGGTGGAGCACCCAGAGAGGGTAGGGAATCTCCATGCCCCTTCCCACGTATCTTACTCTGTGCATCTCTTCCATTTGGCTGTTCATCAAGTACTTTATGATAAACTAGTAAGGAAGCGTTTCCCTGAGGTCTATGAGCTCAACCCAAGGAGAGCATCATAGAAACCCTGACTTATACCTGGTTGGTCTGAAGTACAGGCAACAACCTGGGGGCTTGTGACTGGCATCTCTGCAGTGGAGGCAGTATTGTGGGGCTGAGCCCTTAACCTGCAGAGTCTGACTCTAATTCCAGGCAGTGTCAGAACTGAATCAAATTATAGGATATCCAGCTGGTGTCTGCTGGAGAATTGGTTGTTGGTGGGGAAAAATATCCCACACCTTTTGTTGATCAGAGGTCAAGTGTTCAGTGCTATGTGTTCTATGTGAGTAGGAACAACTGGGGTTTTTTGCATTTCTTACAGAATCACCATAGGACTAAGCTCGCCGCCCCCTGCCCCCCACCCGCCACCAAGATGTACTGTTTTTCCTTCTCTGCTGACATGTATCGATTACGCCAAGAGTTCCTAACCCTATGGCCTTAGGCTGCTTCAGCCAATGAGAGCCCAGCCAGAGATCAGAAGGAGGGAAGAGGGTGAGGTTTGGGTACTTACTTATTTATTGCCTGGCTGCCTCCCTGCAAGGTTGGCTCAGGCTGGCTTTGTCCCTGGACACAGTCCCACCCTGCCCTTCCAAAATGGCCAACTCTGTGTGCGTCTCTCTTCTCATCTAAACTGTTCCCTCCTTTGTTGTTATGGGCCAGGTGGGTAAAGGCTGGGGTGCTACTAAGCCCTGGGTCACTAGGTTTCCCACTGTGGCTCTCCTGTACCCCACCTTTCTAAATGAACCCTCCTTAAGCAACCCTTTTTTTAGGCCCCCCACCTTTCCTATCAGGGCGGTAACTAGTACAGACACCAGCAGTTCCTGGATCTTCTTTTCCCAGCCATCCTCGGGGGTCTGTGGAAAAAGACAAATTACTATTCAGTGGAACCGAAGAATGATTCCACCCGAAGAAAAGAAACAGTGACAAGAGAAGAAGCTTGCAAAGGTCTATGAAATGTGCCTCTAACTTCTCCTCTTTGAGTCACCATTGTACTTTTGAGTACAATACGTTAAAAATTAATGTTCACGGGCTTTTTAAATTGTTTGGAGTAATGGTATCTCCCTTAGACCAATAATTGAATTGCTTAATTGAGAACATAAATCTCCATTGTGAATACTGACATTTTCTCTTTAACAGCTATGTGCGTTCTATCCACTAGCCTGGGCCTCATTGTTTCTATATATGTGTCAGGTAAATGCTTTTAACACACAGCATTCCTCCCTCGGTAGGTACTAAGTAATAAAGGTTAAGTTGTTCTGAAAATGATTTTACATTTCTGTTTCAGCTATGAGTTAGTATCTGCTTATAAAATTAAGAATGATTCTAACCAGAACATCATTAATTAGTTTTCCAATGGCCCATTTGCTCAGGGACTCCATGCCTCTTGAACAAATTGCTCAGTTGTTCACAGAAAATGATATTCTGTTAGGTAGACTCAGGGAGGTGTCTGATTAATTCCTAAAATAGTGTGCTAGAGTAAAACTCTCAGCTATTAGCTCACAGATTTTTTTTAAATGAATTTAGTTATACATTAGAATACTAATTTTTTAAATTGTGGTATAATATTTTGGTTGTTCTGTTTATTTTCTTTGCCACAAGTTTTTCCAACTTTCCATAAATTAGAAACTAGAAATAAGGGAAGAGGCATAATTATCCCAAATAACTTTCTGTGGTTCTATTCAACAACCAGCTACCAGTTGAAATATGAAGCTGGGTCGGGCACAGTGGCTCACACCTGTAATCCTAGCACTTTGGGAGGCCGAGGCAAGCAGATTGCTTGAGCTCGCTCAAGAGTTCGACCCCAGCCTGGCAAACATGGTGAAACCCATCTCTACAAAAAACACAAAAATTAGCTGGTTGTGGTGGTGCACACCTATAGTCTAAACTACTCAGGAGGCTGAGGTGGAAGGATCACTTAAGCCCGGGAGGTCGAGGCTGCAGTGAGCTGAGATCACGCCACTGCCCTCAGCCTGGGTAACAGAGCTAGACCCTGTCTCAAATAAAAATAAAAATACATATTTTTTAAAAATATAAAAATATTTAAATTTTTTAAAAAGAAAAAAAGAAATACGAGGCTGAAAAGCACACATGTGCCTAACATAAGGGGTTGGGTTCCCCCGCCTTATCAAATTGCCCAGCAGCTGCCCAAGAAAAAAAGAATTGTTAATGACAGAATGAAAAGAAATAATTGCAACCAATCTGAATAAGCCAAATATAAAAACCCATGAAGATGTAAGAATAAGCGGGAAATTAACCAGAGGCTTGTGAGCATAAGGACATAAAAGGTAGTTAACAACATACAATACTGATTAAAAGAGTCAGGAAAAGGCAGATGAGGAACAAACCAAGTTACGGAGGGTCTAAGCTAAATTTTTGCCAATAACCAAGTTATTAGTACAAATTGCTGTTGCCCCATAGGTTGCAGAAGTGTCCAAAACCCTTGGCTCATGGCTGAGAATCTGGACAGAATGGCTCCCGTAGGAAGAATTTGGTTGTGCAAATGTTTAGTTTCTGCAATCAGGCATGGGTATAGTGTATAGAAAGCCCATTTCAGACCAGGCGTGTTGGCTCACACCTGTAATCCCAGCACTTTGGGAGGCCAAGGTGGGTGGATCACTTCAGGCCAGGAGTTCGAGACTAGCCTGTCGACCATGGTGAAACCCCATCGCTACTAAAAAATACAAAAAATTAGCCAGGTGTGGTGGCAGGCACCTGTAATCGCAGCTACTCAGGAGACTGAGGCAGGAGAATCGCTTGAACCTAGGAGGCAGAGGTTGCAGTGACCCAAGGTCACAACCACTGCACTCCAGCCTGGGCAACAGAGCGACACTCCATCTCCAAAAGAAAAAAAAAAAGAAAAAGAAAAAAAACCCATTTCAGGCCTACATTCATACACACACACATAGACACACAGTTTCATGACTCCAGATCTTTGCTGATGCCAGTTGTTTCTTCTTCCTGGAAGCGTCTTCCCTTCTTCCTTTGCCATTTAAATTCAGATTCATATTGATGACCCCCAAGAATTACTCTTCCTTCTATACTCTATTGTCTCCTCCTACCGGGGGGTGGGGAAGCAGGAGGAGATGTCCACAAATAGCAGAGGCCTCTTGGCAAATGGGTCATAGGTCCACTATGAACAAGCTCTGCTAGCCTCCTCATTCTACAGGGGATGAGTGCTCCCCCAGCCTCCTCCTCCTCAGCTTCTCTCTAGGGAGTACCTATGACTGAGCGACCTCTGACACTCGGTGCCTCCAGGGTAAGAAAGTTCCCTTCAGAAGAGCAGCTGACACAGCCATTATTGAGTATGTCTCTGCCTCTATCACCTCACGCCACTTCATACAGTCTCCTGGGATGAGCTCATAAGCCCAGCAAGACCATGAGCTCATCTTGAGATGAGGATATAAATGGACAGAAGACTCCACTCACAGAAGGGCTTTCACAGCTGCTATTCAGCATGGTCAGCCAAGAGAAGGCATGGAGTCTTACTGAGTGTCTATTACAGACAGCACGCTTCACAGATAATGTCTTCTTAAAGCCTATCAGCTAAAGCCTACTAGCAATACACACGCAGCCGAAGTTGAGGTTATTAGCTTGTTGCAGCAAGAGAGCACATATACAAGAGGAATCATGGAAAGCGAAAAGGTAAAAGTTAGGAAAGCGTACTCACTAAGACTGGGGAGCTGGAGTTAAAGGTTCTTGGCAGGGATTGGTCAGAATCTGGAAACTAGGGAGTTGCTAGAACAGTCAGTAATTTTATCTACAGAACGCAAAAGTTATGAGATGTACACCCATGTTCATAGCCACATTATTCATAATAGCCAAAAGGTAGAACCAATCCAAGTGTCCATTGACAGTTGAATGGATAAATAAAATGTGATATTTACATACTATGGAATATTATTCAGCCTTAAAAAGGAAATTCTGACACATGCTACACATGGATGAACCTTGAAGACATTATGCTAAGTGAAATAAACCAGACACAAAAAAGACAAATTCTGTATTATTCCTCTTATGTGAGGTACCTAGAATAGTCAAACTCATAAAGACAGAAAGTAGAATGGTGATTGCCAGGAGTTTGGAGGAGGGGAGAATGGGGAGTTATGTTTAATGGGTACAGAGTTTCATTTTTGTAAGATGAAAAGTTTTCTGTGGATGGATGGTGGTGGCAGTTGCTTAACAATGTGAACGGACTCAGTGCCACTGAACCGTATACTTAAAAATGGTTAAAATGGTAAATTTTATGTTATGTATACTTTACCACAATTTTTTTAAAAAGTCATGTGGAATGACTGTTAGATCAGTTTGTCTGATGTCCTCTCTAAAAAATACGGGTCTGCATGTGCTGATTAGAAGAGTTTGAGTTTAGACACTTTCTCCTGTATGTTGTGGCTTGGCTCGGTTTAACTGTTTTGCAAGTCACAGAGCAGATTTGCAAGATGTGATTTCTGTTTTAATTCTCAGTTCGCCCATCTCAGACTAGCTGTCAGCAGAGCTGTTTTTTACTTTCTCAATCTCATTTAGTTGTTTGCTTGTTTTGTTTATTTGTCTTAACAACTGAAAGCAGTACTAGATTCAAGATTCCAAACCCAAAGCTGCCAGAATTCTCACCGCGGACTTTTCTATCATAGGGGTCCCCCAAAGGTTAAAGTGGGTCTTTGAAATGGGCACAATCTGTCTGTTCCTAATACGTAACAGATGTAATTCCTTATCAACTATTCCAGGAACCCTAAAGTACTCAGATAAATATGGCATCACCTGATTTCCAGGACCTCACAGACTGAAAGGCAAAACATACACAGTTATGTGTAGGAAATATAATAAATCTAGAAGGTAAATGATCATATGCCCATGTTAAATATCTACATAATTATGATACTACTCACCTACATTTGGTTAGAATCCTTTCACAAGGAAGAGAATCTTTTTCTAGAGATGAGATGAGATTCAAAATTAAAATGGAACACTACTAGAAAATTTAATACATTCACTTAGATTTCTCTGAAGCATAAACGATGGTGTTAAAAGAGTAGATTTAGATAAAGCAGAGAAAGAAAGCAAAATAATTCCTAACAGATGCGTCATAATTTTTTCTGCAAAGGGCCAGAGAGTAAATATTTAAGGCCTTACAGGCCATATGCGGCCAAAGACAATATGTAAACAAATAAGTATGGCTGAATCCCAATAAAACTTTATTTATGAAGCTGAAATTTGAATTTAATGTAATTTTCACAGGTCATAAAATATTCTTCTTCTTAATTTTTTCCAACCATTTAAAAATGTAAAAACCATTTTTATCTCTCAGGCTGTAGAAACACGAGCAGCAGGCTGAATTTGGCCTGCAGCTATAATTTGCCAACCCCTGCTTTCAAGGCTGGCTTCTCCAAGTGTAAACCATAGTCTGGCAGCATCAGCAACACCCAGGAGCTTGTCAGAAATACAGAACCTCATGCCCAATCCCAGATCCGCTGAAGGAGAACCTGCATTTTCAACAACCATCATGTGTTTGTTTACGCAGTTTAAGGTCCACTCAGACTGATACGTGACTGTGGTCAATCCCTGTGCTTCCCAAGGAAGTGACCTTGGGAATGTTCTGAACCTCTCTGTGCCTCAGTTTCCCTACGTACAAGATAAAGATGGTAGCATTTTCTCCCTTAAGCATGGCTGTGAGAGTTCACACATGAATGCGCATGCACACACACACACACGGCTTAAAACAGTATTTGTCATTACTATAACAAAATCTTCTGTTATTTTCACAGCCACCCTCTGAAATAGGCAATGTTCACCTAATTTGACATAAGAAACTGTAGTCCAAAGAATACAGAAATTCATCTAGGATCGCAATTTAGTCCTGAGAATAATGATCAAAGGGACAAAAGGGGAACAAATGCCCCAGGCTCCCAGGTCTTCAAGCCCATGTTCCCCTCCCGGGGAACACTCTCCATAACCTCTCAGCTCATGCCCCTTAGATGGTCCCTAAAAATGCTTCTGCCACACAAGGATCTCCCCAAATCTGTACTCCAAGTTATACTTTCATTCCTTGAAATTTATTTTCCATTAAGTTGCATAGTGTTTTTTTTTTTACAACTTCTCTTTCTAGTTATAGATTGTAAATTTTTCCTTTCTTGAGTCTTGGAGCTGACCAGCTGTTTTTTATTATATTTGTAGGGCTCAGGGAAAAAAAAGGCAACTCCTTTATATGAGAATCCTGACATTTATTAGCATAATAAAACTCTCAAGATGAAATTGCAGTTTTCCAGACAGTAATTTCATTTGCAGGACAACTTACAAGGGATTTATTTTAAAGCCAGGTAAAAAGGTAAAACCTAAAATATATGAGACATGCAGAAATTGCAGGCCCCAAATAAAATGAAATAAATGTGTTAGGGATGGAAAACCCAGCTGTTGTCTCTCACATATTAATTAGGGGTGACAGGAACAACAGCCCAGGGATTCAGGGTCTCAACTCATCTCAGTCTGCTTTCAAAGCTGCTGGGAGTTCTTGGAACAGAAGTTGCCTCCAACACCTTGAAAATCATCACATCATATCCCCTGATACATCATGGGCTAAGCACTAAGTTGTTATTGTTATTGTGGTTGTTGTTAGAAATACCTTTTTCATTTGGACAGAGCTTTCATGTTTATCATTTAACTAACCCACAAAAAAACCTAGTGACGGCCATACAGAAAACTCCCTTTTCAGTCATACCGAGGTTTACTGAAGTTAAATGACTTGGACAAAGTCACATAGTTGGTAAATCAGAGAGCCAAAACTAAAACATCATTCCTCTGAGTCCATAGAAATAAGGCAATTTTAATGATAATTTTAATGATAATCAATGAAGGCACATTAGAGTTCAGAAAGCAGATTCCTTCCATCATTTCACTTTATGCATGTAGTGAGACAGGTAGACCGGGGGAAGCCATGGAGCTGAGTGAGTTGCAAAATTGATATTATTGAACACTTCTGTATAATGGGTTCTTATCCTGGATTCCCCAAAAGACAGAGCCTGTGGCAAAAGCTTATGAGCTGCTACTTCATTCAGAAGTGCAATCCCAGAGCAACAGGAGAGAGCAGGGCAAGGCAGAGAAGAATTAAAAACGGGGGCAGCAGGGTGTCATACTGATCCGGCCACCACTTGGTTTCATCATGACTGGTTGCTCGATCTTACAGGACTGTCTTCTACAAGACCATACAAACAGATGACTCTCAGAATAGTTCCTCCAGGAGGAAGAAGGAGGAAAAAGCGATCTACCAGCCTATGACTCCCATTCATCCCAGATTCACCACATCGGGCATTCACTTCCCATCTCTTCTGTCTTATGCCTCTGCAGCAATGGGAGATGGGGCATGTGGCAAGCTACCATTGGCTTATGCTCACATGACACTGATCAACATAGGGAGGAAGAGCAGAACCCACGCAAAACTGGTTATAGTGCTGGTGGCTTGTGGTAGAGAAGTGACCAAGAATCTAAGGAATAGGTGAGGCAAGAGAAGAAGTGGGGCATAGATGTTTGATACAGCCATCGGGTAAAGTAAATCGTTCCCTAACATTCCTAGAATCCATTCATTCTTTTCCTCTCACCAAACACAATGCTGCAAGCATTATAATGCTAGTAAGTTCCAGGGTTAGGATATGAACCCAAGTCTTCTTGACTGTAAAGACTGTAATCTTCTCTTCATCATATACTACCTCTGTGTATATGGCCATAACTGTGGAACACAAGTATGCACCAACAGATACCATCACTGAGAGTTATCGAGGAGTTATTGCGTGAGTCTTCTTGTTAATATAAGCAACATACTGAGATTAAGTTGACAAGGGAATTAAAAGGACAATGAGGACAGAGCTAATCATTGGAGTAACCTGCATAGAGAGGGCCACATCCCAGAGAGCAGAGGCCTCATCAGATTTCTAAGAACCATTCTTGCATTGATAACTCACCCCAGGTCTTGAAGACATCTGTAGGATGACATAAAACCATTGCAAAACCAAGGCCAAAATATGATTCAAAGATAGAGGCGAGTGGCAAAAGAAGAGGTTAAATAAGGAAGGCAGGACGGTGTCAATCAGCTGCCCTGGAAACTGGGGCTCACCTTAGATAATTCCAATGATAATATCAATGAGGGTGATAATGGAGATTATGAAAGATGCAGCATTTATGTCCTCCATAGAAATCCTTCATAATCTTCTATTATTGCCATGATTTTATAGAGTGGCGAGTAGGAAATAATTTACAAGAAACCACTGCTAATTTGTGTTGGAAAACTTTTAGAAGACATGCATTCATTCAACAAACATTTACTGAATGTCTACCATATGTTAAATTCAGGGTTCGGCACTGGAATTATTTTGGATTATTAAAACATGGTCCACGCACTGTAAGAGCTCGGTTTACGGCAGCCATGACAAACAGGCTTTGTCTTCTAAGGTCATAGCTAAGCTCTTCATGAAAGAGTTGCATGAGCTATTAGCAATTTCTGTCCCGATCGCTGGGATGAGACCAGTAGCCCTATGCCATAGATGTCATATCCCTTGAGGCATATTAATCTACTTTTTCCTTTGGATAGTGGTGGATCTTCCAGAAGGCCATAGGATTTGAGATGAGAAGTTCTTAAGCTGAGTTCAAAAACAGGATACCAAAATGAATCCAATTGATAAGGAAAAAAATTATTCAAACAACAGATGGTAGTCTGGTGGGCTGTCCCTCTGTCCGCAGGGTTCCTGAAGTAACTCTCCTCCTGAAACAGTGATAATTTCCTCCTAAAACAGAAAAAAAAGGAAAATCCACTTATAATCAAGACAGGGAAATACACATCTATGAGAGAGAGAGAGTGGTTCAAGACAGAGAAACTAAGAATATGCATTTGTCTCCTCTCATTCAGATTTCTAGAAATGACAGGAAAAAAGAGCTGCCTTTAAAAAGAAATAAATTCATAAAAAGTACTGGAAAAAAAAAAACTTTGTCATCGACAAAGTGAAACATATTCAAGAATCCCTGAAAAACAAAAGACATGCAGGAGGGGCTTGTCAGAGGAGTCAATGTGGGACACCAGTTACAGCAAGCCGAGGAAGAGTTGAGGGACTCCAGTAGGTGTTTGCCTCAAGCAGGTCGGGGAATGAGGAGACGCACACGGTTCCTTGGAAGCCCCAAGAGACCCAAAAAGTTCAGACAGTCCCACGCCCAAAAGATGAGCCACTCACGGTCAACTCCAACCCCTACAGCATGAAGACACTGAATTTGGGAAACAAGACTGTATCCACTCATGATAGACAGAAAATTTAAAGTTGGAAGATCGCTTCATAGCCTAAAATTTATAGGCATTTAAGCAAAATTATAACCATAAAAGAAAGAGGCTGAACTCAACAATAGAAATGATTTCCAGGAAAATATCAAGTCTATAAAGCAAACAGAAGAGGCTTTAAGAGATGTGCATTAATCTCTCCTCAGCGGAATAAGAAATAAGTCATCCATGAAACGAGAATGGGCATTATTTAAAAAAAAAAAAAGAACCACTTAAAGAACCTGGAAACCAAAAGCATGACCATTTAAATTAAAAGGAAAAAATTTCAGTAGAAGAACTGAAAAGCAGAATGCTCATAACTAAAAAGCAATTCAGCAGCTGAAAGAAATGTCACATCAAAAAGAAAGACACATCCTAATGGAAAAATGGACAAAGAATACGAAAGGATGATTCACAGAAGAAATCCAAGTGGCCGTGAAACGTGTGAAAAGATCCTCAGCATCAGTGGTAATCAGACAAATGCAAACTAAACCACAGTAGATTGTCTGCCCATCTGATGGAGAAAAATGAAATGATTGATAGGCCCCAGTGTTGGCAGCAGTGCGGGGAAACAGCCGCATATAGTTTTGGCAGGAGACTGAACTGGCACCATATTTTTGGAGGGCAATCTGGCAGATCTTTTCTAATTAAAATGTGCATACTCTTCTCTCCAGCAATTCCAGTTCCAGGACCCATCCTAGAGAAATACTGCACATGTATCCATAGTGACACACAGGGAAGTCTCTACAGCACTGTTCAAGATCATGAAAAATCGGAAGCCAGATAAGTGTCCATCAAAAGGAGAATGGGTAATTAAACTGTAATATGCATCCATACCATGGAATTCCACATGGCATTTACAAGGTTTGGTATACGGATTAACATAGGAAGAGCTCATAGATATATCTGAATGACAGCCAGCATGTCCTGAAATTACAAGTGTCAGGTATATTGTTTCAGCACTTCACACAGTGATGTTTCATTAAAACCTTACAGTGACCTGAAGAGTTGAGTGCTACTATTAAACCCACTTTACTAAGGTGGAAACTAAGGTGCAAAACCTAAATAGTCGTCCAAAGTCAAACACATAAGTTAGAATTTAAAACTCAGCAGCCTCATTCTAGGGACCATGCTTTTTAAAACTGCATTCAATTATTTAGTAAGCATGTTAAAAAATCAAGTCACTCATTTATATGTAAGGAAATATGCAACTTGGGCTGGGTGTGGTGGTGCATGCCTGTAGTCCCAGCTACTAGGGATGCTGAGGTGGGAGGATCACTTGAGCCCAGGATCTTGAGGTTACAGTGAGCTATGATCGCACCACTGCACTCCAGCCTAAGCAACAGAGTAAGACCTTGTCTCAAAAAAGACTACCCAACTTATGTGGAAAATAACAAAACTATATATTTCCTTATATACATAAGTTTTTATGTTACTGCTCAGGAGATACTTAGATAAGATACATGGCAAATTGATAATCAAAGTAGAGGACAGAAATAGAGACTTGAAATGAATGAGGCTTTCACTTTGTATTGTATTTGATTTTTCTTAGAATGTAATCATGAACTAATTGTGTAATTAAAATTTTAATTGATAGAAGTTGGCCACCAGATCTCCACATTGGCATAAATGATATCTCTCCTTAGTGTTAGAAATGAAACTGTGAGTCTCAAAGGTTTTGATGTGGAAGAGAATAAAGATCTTCAGAGATCTCTGGTCTAGCCTTTCTCTGGAATCTGTCCTGAGTGAGGAGCATTTATCCTTTGCTTGAAACACTTCCAGGGACAAGGAGCTCATCATTGCTAAAGCAGCTTCTATTATACAGGAAAAGCAAACAATATGGTTTAGTGGAAAAAGTACATTCTTTAGAGGCAAACAGCCTGAGGCTTAACTCTTGGTCCTAACCATGAAAACTTAGCCCTGGTTTCCTAATCTGTGAAATGGGGTTAAGATGCCTCCCTCAGGCGTCTGCCATTGCTGGGCTTGAGTAGGTAAACAAAGTGGATGGGGAAGCTCGAACTGGGTGGAGCCCACCACAGCTCAGCAAGGCCTGCTGCCTCTGTAGACTCCACCTCTGTGAGCAGGGCATAGCTGAACAAATGGCAGCAGAAACTTCTGCACTTAAACGTCCCTGTCTGACAGCTCTGAAGAGAGCAGTGGTTCTCCCAGCATGGTGTTTGAGCTCTGAGAACAGACAGACTGCCTCCTCAAGTGGATACCTGACCCCTGTGTAGCCTAACTGGAAGACACCTCCCAGTAGGGGCTGACTGACACCTCATACAGGCAGGTGGCCCTCTGGGATGAAACTTCGAGAGGAAGGATCAGGCAGCAATATTTGCCATTCTGCAGCCTCTGCTGGTGATACCCAGGCAAAGAGGGTCTGGAGTGGACCTCCAGCAAACTCCAACAGACCTGCAGCTGAGGGACCTGACTGTTAGAAGGAAAACTAACAAACAGAAAGGAATAGCATCAACATCAACAAAAAGGACATCCACACCAAAACCCCATCTGTAGGTCACCAATATTGCAACCAAAGGTAGATAAAACCACAAAGATGGGGAGAAACCAGAGCAGAAAAGCTGAAAATTCTAAAAACCAGAGCGCCTCTTCTCCTCTAAAGGATCGCAGCTCCTCAGCAGCAACAGAACAAAGCTGGAGGAAGAATGACTTTGACGAGTTGACAGAAGTAGGCTTCAGAAGGTCAGTAATAATAAATTTCCCCGAGCTAAAGGAGGATGTTTGAACCCATCGCAAGGAAGCTAAAAACCTTGAAAAAAGATTAGACAAATGGCTAACTAGAATAAACAGTGTAGAGAAAACCTTAAATGACCTGATGGAGCTGAAACTCATGGCATGAGAACTGTGTGATGCATGCACAAGCTTCAATAGCCAATTTGATCAAGTGGAAGAAAGGGTATCAGTGATTGAAGATCAAATTAATGAAATAAAGCGAGAAGAGAAATTTAGAGAAAAAAGAGTAAAAAGAACCGAACAAAGCCTCCAAGAAATATGGGATTATGTGAGAAGACCAAATCTACGTCTGATTGGTGTGCCTGAAAGTGACGAGGAGAATGGAACCAAGTTGGAAAACACTCTTCAGGATATTATCCAGGAGAACTTCCCCAACCTAGCAAGGCAGGCCAACATTCAAATTCAAGAAATACAGAGAACACCACAAAGATACTCCTCGTGAAGAGCAACCCCAAGACACATAATTGTCAGATTCACCAAGGTTGAAATGAAGGAAAAAATGTTAAGGGCAGCGGGAGAGAAAGGTCGGGTTAACCTCAAAGGGAAGCCCATCAGACTAACAGCTGATCTCTAGGCAGAAACTCTATAAGCCAGAAGAGAGTGGGGGCCAATATTCAACATTCTTAAACAAAAGAATTTTCAACCCAGAATTGCATATCCAGCCAAACTAAGCTTCATAAATGAAGGAGAAATAAAATACTTTACACACAAGCAAATGCTGAGAGATTTTGTCACCACCAGGCCTGCCCTAAAAGAGCTCCTGAAGGAAGCACTAAACATGGAAAGGAACAACCAGTACTGACCACTGCAAAAACATCCCTAATTATAAAGACCATCGATGCTACGAAGAAACTGCATCAACTAACAGGCAAAATAACCAAATAACCAGCGAACATCATAATGACAGGATCAAATTCACACATAACAATATTAACCTTAAATGTAAATGGACTAAATGCCCCAATTAAAAGACACAGACTGGCAAATTGGATAAAGATCAAGACCCATCAGTGTGCTGTATTCAGGAGACCCATCTCACATGCAGAGACACACATAGGCTCAAAATAAAGAGATGAAGGACGATCTACCAAGCAAATGGAAAGCAAAAAAAGCAGGGGTTGCAATCCTAGTCTCTGATAAAACAGACTTTAAACCAACAAAGATCAAAAGAGACAAAGAAGGCCATTACATAATGGTAAAGGGATCAATTCAACAAGAAGAGCTAACTATCCTAAATTTATATGCACCCAATACAGGAGCACCCAGATAAAGCAAGTCCTTAGAGACCTACAAAGAGACTTAGACTCCCACACAATAATAATGGGAGACTTTAACACCCCCTGTCAATATTAGACAGACCAATGAGACAGAAGGTTAATAAGGATATCCAGGACTTGAACTCAGCTCTGCACCAAGCAGGCCTAATAGACATCTACAGAACTCTCCATCCCAAATCAACAGAATATACATTCTTCTCAGCACCACATTGCACTTATTCCAAAATTGACCACACAGTTGGAAGTAAAGCACTCCTCAGCAAATGTAAAAGAACAGAAATCACAACAAACTGTCTCTCAGACCACAGTGCAATCAAATTAGAACTCAAGACTAAGAAACTCACTCAAAACTGCACAACTACATGGAAACTGAACAACCTGCTCCTGAATGACTACTGGGTACATAACGAAAAGAAGGCAGAAATAAAGTTGTTCTTTGAAACCAATGAGAACAAAGACACAACGTACCAGAATCTCTGGGACACATTTAAAGCAGTGTGTAGAGGGAAATTTATAGCACTAAATGCCCACAAGAGAAAGCAGGAAAGATCTAAATCAACACCCTAACATCACAACTAAAAGAACTAGAGAAGCAAGAGCAAACAAATTCAAAAGCTAGCAGAAGGCAAGAAATAACTAAGATCAGAGCAGAACTGAAGGAGATAGACACACAAAAAACCCTTCAAAAAATCAATGAATCCAGGAGCTGGTTTTTTGAAAAGATCGACAAAATTGATAGACCACTAGCAGGACTAATAAAGAAGAAAAGAGAGAATAATCAAATAGACGCAATAAAAAATGATAAAGGGGATATCACCACCGATCCAACAGAAATACAAACTACCGTCAGAGAATACTATAAACACCTCTAGGCAAATAAACTAGAAAATCTAGAAGAAATGGATAAATTCCTAGACACATACACCCTCCCAAGACTAAACCAGGAAGAAGTTGAATCACTGAATAGACCAATAACAGGCTCTGAAATTGAGGCAATAATTAATAGACTACCAACCAAAAAAAGTCCAGGACCACACGGATTCACAGCTAAATTCTACCAGAGGTACAACGAGGAGCTGGTTCCATTCCTTCTGAAATTATTCCAATCAGCAGAAAAAGAGGGAATCCTCTCTAACTCATTTTATGAGGCCAACGTCATCCTGATACCAAAGCCTGGCAGAGACACAACAAAAAAAGAGAATTTTAGACCAATATCCCTGATGAACATCGATGGGAAAATCCTCAATAAAATACTGGCAAACTGAATCCAGCAGCACATCAAAAAGCTTATCCACCACGATCAAGTCAGCTTCATCCCTGGGATGCAAGGCTGGTTCAACATACGCAAATCAATAAATGGAATCCATCACATAAACAGAACCAATGACAAAAACCACATGATTATCACAATAGATGCAGAAAAGGCCTTTGACAAAATTCAGCAGCCCTTCATGCTAAAAACTCTCAATAAACTAGGTACTGATGGAACATATCTCAAAATAATAAGAGCTATTTATGACAAACCCACAGCCAATATCATACTGAATGGGCAAAAACTGGAAGCATTCCCTTTAAAAACTGGCACAAAACAGGGATGCCCTCTCTCACCACTACAATTCAATATAGTGTTGGAAGTTCTGGCCAGGGCAATCAGGCAGGAGAAAGAAATAAAGGGTATTCAATTAGGAAAAGAGGAAGTCAAATTGTTCCTGTTTGCAGATGACATGACTGTATATTTAGAAAACCCCATCATCTCAGCCCAAAATCTCCTTAAGCTGATAAGCAACTTCAGCAAAGTCTCAGGATACAAAATCAATGTGCAAAAATCACAAGCATTCCTATACACCAATAACAGACAAAACAGAGAGCCAAATCATGAGTGAACTCCCATTCATAATTGGTACAAAGAGAATAAAATATCTAGGAATCCAATTTACAAGGGATGTGAAGGACCTCTTCATGGAGAACTCAAAACCACTGCTCAACGAAATAAAAGAGGACACAAATGGAAGAACATTCCATGCTCATGGATAGAAAGAATCAATATCATGAAAATGGCCATACTGCCCAAGGTAATTTATAGATTCAATGCCATCCCCATCAAACTACCAATGACTTTCTTCACAGAATTGGAAAAAACCACTTTAAAGTTCATATGGAACCAAAAAAGAGCCTGCATTGCCAAGACAATCCTAAGCAAAAGAACAAAGCTGGAGGCATCACACTACCTGACTTCAAACTATACAACAAGGCTACAGTAACCAAAACAGCATGGTACTGGTACCAAAACAGAGATATAGACCAATGGAACAGAACAGAGGCCTCAGAAATAACACCACATATCTACAACCATCTGATCTTTGACAAACCTGACAAAAACAAGAAATGGGGAAAAGATTCCCTATTTAATAAATGGTGCTGGGAAAACTGGTTAGCCATAAGTAGAAAGCTGAAACTGGATCCCTTCCTTATACCTTATACAAAAATTAATTCAAGATGGATTAAAGACTTAAACATTAGACCTAAAACCATAAAAACCCTAGAAGAAAACCTAGGCAATACCATTCAGGACATAGGCATGGGCAAGGACTTCATGACTAAAACAACAAAAGCAATGGCAACAAAAGCCAAAATAGAAAAATGGGATCTATCGAACTAAAGAGCTTCTGCACAGCAAAAGAAACTACCATCAGAGTGAACAGGCAAGGGAGAAAATTTTTGCAATCTACCCATCTGACAAAGGGCTAATATCCAGAATCTACAGAGAACTTAAACAAATTTACAAGAAAAAAAACAAACAATCCCATCAAAAATTGGGCAAAGGATATGAACAGACATTTCTCAAAAGAAGACATCTATGCAGCCAACAGACACATGAAAAAATGCTCATCATCACTGGTCATCAGAGAAATGCAAATCAAAACCACAATGAGATACCATCTCATGCCAGTTAGAATGGTGATCATTAAAAAGTCATGAAACAACAGATGCTGGAGAGGATGTGGAGAAATAGGAACACTTTTACACTGTTGGTGGGACTGTAAACTAGTTCAACCTTTGTTGAAAACAGTGTGGCGATTCCTCAGGGATCTAGAACTAGAAATACCATTTGACCCAGCGATCCCATTACTGAGTATATACCCAAAGGATGATAAATCATGCTACTATAAAGACACATGCACACGTATGTTTATTGCAGCACTATTCACAATAGCAAAGACTTGGAACCAACCAGAATGTCCATCAATGATAGACTAGATTAAGAAAATGTGGCACATACACACCATGGAATACTATGCAGCCATAAAAAAGGATGAGTTCCTGTCCTTTGCAGGGACATGGATGAAGCTGGAAACCATCATTCTCGCAAACTATCACAAGGACAGAAAACCAAACACCGCATGTTCTCACTCATAGGTGGGAAGTGAACAATGAGAACACTTGGACACAGGGCAGGGAACATCAGACACTGGGGCCTGTTGTGCGGTTGGGGGAAGGGGGAGTGATAGCATTAGGAGAAATACCTAACGTAAATGACGAGTTAATGGGTGCAGCAAACTAACATGGCACATGTATACCTGTGTAACAAACCTGCAGGTTGTGCACATGTACCCTAGAACCTAAAGTATAATTTAAAAAATGAACAAAATAAATAAATAAAAAGATGCCTCCCTCACAGATCTATTGGTAAGATTAAATAAGAGCATGGATGTAGAGCAATAGGTTCAGTGCTTGACACAGAGAATGTGTCAATGTCCTCACATCCCCTCCCTTTCGCTTTCCTCTGTTAGAAGGCTCTTTCCAACACGTAGAAATCAACCTTGATCCTGGTTAGTCCAGTTTCCAGGCAGTACTCCACACTCAGTGCCCGAGTATCTGTGAATAGGTGATTCTCCATGTGTATTATTCATAAGGTCAAGGGCTGTCCCTGAATTTCTAGGGACTTCCATGAAGAGACAAAGAGAAAGCAATACAAACCTAAGAGTCCCTATTATACCAAAACCCCAGTGAGACCGTCAAGTCATTCTGTGAAACCATCTACACCCACAAAGCTTGGTTAGATGTCGGACGCCGGAGCTACCACCACTCTGCCCCTCGGAATCCTTCGTCCTGCCCTTCCAGGTCACTGAGTTCCACCTCTGGCTTTCTCCCAGTTACTAATGATGCCAACGGCCACACGAACATAAACGTTGCTTCTTACTACATACACTGCTTGGAAGACAACATCTTTTCCAATATAGGGTCCATGGCAGGAGGACAAATAACAAAAAGAATGCTGAGAAACAAGACTTTCCATAAGCACTTCACAGTCACAAAGCGCTGCTCTGTACTTGACTTCATTTAATGCTCACAGGGTCCGAGCTAAGTATTATTCACATCCATTTGCCTGGCTAGGACGCTGACGTTTGGTGAGACTAAGGTGCTGGCTCAAGGTCACACATGTACTAAGTGGTTAAGCTGGAGTTCAAATAAGAGACATGGTAACTCCACCACTAGAAAAGCTTCTCTAATCACAGGGTTGCCTACTGCACTTCAGCTAACTCTCAGAAGCTGCTAGAGGTCTGGCTTGGAGGTCCTCATGAGAGACGTTCTTGGGAATGAGTTGGAGATGAGACCCAGGCTTGGAGAAAGGGATGATCATCCAGTCCTTGTGTTAACAGGAGGGAGCACTCAGGTACCCAAGGTGAGAAGAGGCCTGAGGACCAGGGTGAGAGGTGCCCGCATGCCCCAGAGAGTGAAGCAGAGAGCAGAACAGTGGGCCCTCGGGCCCCGTGTGGACAACCTCTGGTCTCTTCTGCCCTGATGCTCTACATCTCTGAGACCCTCCAGCCCCACTGCCCAGAGCCAGCAGCCTTGCTTCTCTTGCTCTAGCTCTCTCTTCAGCTCCAATTTCCACCAGTTCCCCCTCCCCCCCATTAGTATCCCTGTGAGGGATACCTTATGGAAATCAACGAGATCCGTGAGCGTTGCATGGCGATTGGGGTCCACTCCCAGGAAGCTGTAAAAATCCCCAGAAGCATCCACAAGAAAGTGTTTGAACCCTTTCTGCAGGCGGTAGGAGAGGGTGTAACCCCAGATTTTCTCACTGACCCGGACCAGGAATGCTCCCTCAGTCATGTTCTCCAGGAGAGCTTCTGCATCTTCTCGGCTAATAATTCCTGATTTAAAATAGAAAAAAACAAAAAAACACAGCAGGTTCTGCGACTGCCTCCCCCACGATTCTCCACTCCTCCCTGCCCCTCACCCTGTGGCTCAGTGCACATGCCATCCACACAGTCCAGGGTGGCAGGAAGGAAAGAGCCCCAAGGGCTGGCCAAGCACATGCCTCCTTCCACAGAGAGGGCATCTTGGCCCAGCGCCACCCGCCGTGAGCCTGGGGGCAGAGTTTCTACTAGGACGTGAGTTGAGCATGCTTTCCTCCACATTGAGCCAGGGTGATTTGGATTAATTGGGTAAGCAAGGAATTAGTAGTGAGCTGTGATTATAGCATTATTGATTATAAATATAAGTCAACAGGCTTGTGAAAAGCCTTAAGAGGCCTGCTTTAAAGACTAGTCCAGAATGGCTGCTGATGACTAACTCACTTATTTCTCTAGTACCATAAATAAGCACCTAAAAATAGGGGTTTCCCTTAAAAAGTAAAAAGACTTCTTCCAAATACCTGTGGACACCAGGCAAAAAGTTTCTTAATAGGGGCATAGAATCAAGCTTCACTTCAGCTCAGAGATCAAAACTTTCTAAGGACTTGCACTCCTACACAATGCAGTTTCATCACAATTTGGAATTCTGGTTGGCCTTGGAGTCGTTGATATGCTGGTAGCAATCCCCTGAAATGCTCTCAGGAAGCCGCTGTCATCTGGGTGATATAGGAGGCGTGATGTAGAACAGGTTCCAGAGGCAAGTAGGTGGGAAGAGGAGGGGAAGCCAGAAGACCTGGATTACCCCCACCCCCGACCTCTGCCAACCTGGCTATGGAATTTCCAGCCAAGCCCTCAAGGTCTCCAGTGTCCTTTGACATTTAGATGATCATAACCCAAATACTTAGAAGGTATGTTATGACTTTCAAGTTGAATAAAGTATTCAAACTCATTTCATACATAGAGAATAGCTGTGGAGATGCTGGATCCTGTTAGCATCTGTTATTCTGGAGGAGAGGTGAATTGCAACACATTGTCCCTTTGCTCACCCATGGACTTACCCTTTCCACACTATCAGTGACAGGCATGGGGACAGAGTGGCTGGGCTGCCCATCTCCATGACCCTGAGAGGCTCAGCACACCTGTGACTTCTCCCCAATCCCCGAAGCCACTCCCGAGCGAGCCGCAGTCAGGCTCCCCTCCCATCACTCTCCTGCCTCCCAGGGCACACTCGAGACTTCCCTTGTGCCCAAGGCATAGGACACAGAGGCAACCACACTGCCAAATGCTGCACCCTTTAAAGACAATTGGCGCAACCAGGGGCCACCTATTTCCTCCTTGCCCAGGATTTACAGCAAGAGGCATCCAAGCCAGCCACCCCTCCCCAGCCAAGCTCTACAAGCAGAAAAGGAAGAAGAGTAAGACAAGGAAGGAAGTGAGGAGCCCTTTCGCCACAGGACACCTGAAAAATAAACACTGGCCCATGCAAGAGGGAGGATGCACCCCGCTGCTTCCCCCCAGAAGGCCTTGGGGGCTTCATGCAAAAAAGTAGGGACAGACAAAAGAGGACCGGAAGGGAAAGTCCAGGATCCCTCAAAAGTTGGCACTGTCCTTCACCTACCTCCCTGCCCCAACACCAGAACACCCGGGCCCTAAAAGAGGCTGCAGCAGGGAGATAAGTAAGGGGGGCCAGACGCAGGGCCAGGGCCTGGGAGGAAGAGGGACCAGAAGATGTCACCCTCATCCCCACTCCAAGCACCTCAAGCTGATATGGTAGCGGGGCTAGGGTTGGAGAGGAGGGGAGTGTTACTAGGGTGGGAGACTACAGTCAAATTATATACGATTCAACTTTTTTTCTTTTAAACAAGTATCTTTATTGTAACGTTTATTACTTTTTCATTGATGAATAAAAATTATATATATTTATGGTGTACATGACATTTTGATATATGTATGCACTGCGGGATGGCTAAATCAATCTACTTAAGATTAACATACGCTTTACCTCACATATTTTTTGTGGTAAGAACACTTAAAAATCTACCCTCTTGGCTGGGTATAATAGCTCAGACCTGTAATCTCAGCACTTTGGGAGACTGAGGTGGGAGGATCACCTGAGCCCAGTAGTTCAAGATCAGCCTGGGCAACATAGCCCATGTTGTTGTCTCCACACTTTTTGTGGAGACAACTATCTCCACAAAAAAATTAAAAATAACTTGGGCATGAAGATGCTACACCCACTTGGGAGGCCGAGGCAAGAGGATCATTTGTGCCCAGAAGTTCAAGGCTGCAGTGATGTGTGATCATGCTACCATACTCTAGCCTGGGTGACAGAGCAAGACCCCGTCTCAAACAAACAAACAAAAACTCTCTTGGCAATTTTCAAGTATATAATATATCATTAATTGTAGTTACCAAGCTGTACAATAGATCTCTTGAACTTATTCCTCCTGTCTAAATGAAATGTTATGTCCTTTGACCAACATCTCCCCAGTGCCTGCCTCTCCCAGCCCCGGTAACCACCATTCCACTTTCTGCTTCTGTAAGTTCAATGTTTTTAGATTCCACATATAAGTGAGATCATGAGGTATTTGTCTTTCTGTGCCTGACTTATTTCACTTAGCATAATGTCCTCTAGGTTCATCCATGTTGTCACAAATGACAGGATTTCATTCTTTTTAAAGGCCAAATACTATTCCATTGTGCACATACACCACATCTCTTTATCCATTCAACTGTTAATAGACATTTAGGTTAGGCCTGGTGTGGTGGCTCATGCCTATAATACCAGCACTTTAGTAGGCCAAGGTGGGAGGATCGCTTGAGCCCAGGAATTCAAAACCAGCCTGGGCAACATAGCAAGGCCCTGAATCTACAAAAACATAAAAAATTAGTTGGGCATGGTGGCACATGCCTGTGGTCCCAGCTACTCAAGAGGCTGAGGTGAGAGAATCACATGAGCCCAGGAATTCAAGGCTGCAGTGAGCTATGATCATGCCACTATACTCTAGCCTGGAAAACAGAGCAAGGCTCTATTTCAAAAATACATTAATAAATAAACAAACACTTCCATTGATTCCCTATCTTGGCTATTGTGAATAATGCTACAATCAACATGGCAGTATAGATATCTCTTCGACATACTGATTTCATATCCTTTGAATAAATACCCAGTAATGGGGTTGCTGAGATTATGGGGTACTTCTATTTTAATTTGTATTTTCATGCTTTAAGAGAATGTGCAAGGGGTCTCTTTCCTCCAACACTTGCCAACACGTTATTTTGTGGACTTGACTTTTAACATGCCAAAACGACCAGTAATACCAAAGTGACGATGTTATGTGTCTCACCCACCTAAAACCCTTGAGCAGCTTCCCCTGACTTCCAGCAGAGCCCAGGCTCAGGCACAGCAGACAGCAGGCTCTATGCCCCGCCTCAACCTACCCCTCTGGGCTCATCGCACTGTTTGGTACTGGCTGCTCCCCACAAGCCGACCTTGGACTGAGGCCACATCCCAGCCCCCTTCACTCCAGCTGACCCTGACTCCTCATTGAAAGCCCCATCCTCTTCTCTCCCCAGAATCATGGGCTATGGGCAGCCTACACTCTACCTTTGTGCAAGTTAGGAAAAGATGACCTGAGTAACTGAATTAGAAAAATGTGCCTCTCTGGGCCAAAACCACAAAGCCTATAGCTTGATTGGGAAAGGCAGTGCCTGCACATCAATCCTCTGTTCTCCCCAACTATCCCCACCCCTCAGGTCCCCCAGTTCAGTGTGCAACCTGCTCAGCTGATCAGGAAATCCTTTATCTCCCAGGAGACTGTCTTGGATATCCCACATTTGGGTTTTCACAACATCCTGCCAAAACCCCACAGTAGATTAGTAAATAGGCTATGAGCCGCTCAAGGCTGGGGCCTGTGGCTGCCATGGGAGCAAGCAGCCCAGGCCTCCCTCCAAGACAGAGACCTGTTGCTGGGAGCAGCATCATGCCCTTCAGGATCCTCCATGGGGTCATGTTCTCCCTAGGGTGCTTCCAGTCAAGGGCAGGGCACAGGGGTACTAGAGCCACCATTCCTACCCAAAGCAAGATTCCTCTAGCAGGCAGTCTTTGCTCTGGGGCTCTCAATCAGCCTGGCCAAGATTTTTCTCTGAGCTGTACTCCAGGAGCAGGCTCACTTACCAATCATCCTTCTTCCCTCTCTCCCTCCACAGGTGTCAGATGTGTACCGTGTTCTGAAGACTCTCCCCACCTTCTCCAGCACCCTCCCCCTTTGTCCTTCACAGGCATTTCCTCCAATCAGTCTTTCGTCTTCTGCTTCATGGAAGACCTGACGGACACAGACAACTCATCTTTACATCCTCCATGCCTGGGACATTGGCAGGGATTCTGCAGCAGTGATGAAGAGCATGGACACAAATCATAACCCGGGACTTGTTCCATGGGTAGCCTTGAGAGCAGGTGACTTCAACCTCTCTGAAACCGAGTTTGAGGTCCTCATCTATTAAGTGGTATTGATATTAATAGCTATGTCTTACGGCTGTTTGAGAATGAATAAGTTAATGCATGAATACGTTTAGCACAGTGCTTAAAAATCACAATAAATATCTAATACAATATAACTAGCTGCATTGGATGCACTAAGTATTCTACACATGTGTTAGTGCTGCAAACTGCCTGGTGCTGGTAGCTGCAATGGTCACAGGACTGTCAGGCTGTGTCCCCCACCACAACCCCTGACACACACACACTCAATTCTCTCAAACATAGGCTGCTGAAGGTGACTTCAGCACCATAAACTTAGCTGGGCCATTTCTGGGAGACTGTCTAGGTCTCTGTGAATTCTGCCTCCTTTTTGATATTGCTGATATAGTTTGGATGTGTGTCCCCTCTAAATCTCATGTTGAATTATCATCTGCAGTGTTGGAGGTAGGGCTAGTGGGAGGTGATTTCTCACAAATGGTTTAGCACCATCTCCTTGATGCCATCCTCAGGATAGTGAGTGAGTTCTTGTGAGATCTGGTTGTTTAAAAGTCTGTAGGATCTTCCCCCTCACTCTCTCTCTCTTGCATCCCCTCTCGCCATGTGATATGCTGGCTTCCCCTTTGCCTTCCACCATGGATAGGAAGCTTCCTGAGGCCTCATTGGAAGCCGAGCAGATGCTAGGGCCATATTTCCTGTACAGCCTATAGAACTGGGAGTCTATTAAACCTCTTTTCTATATATTAGTAAGTTACCCAGTCTTGGGTATTTCTTTTTCTTTTTCTTTTTTTTTTTTGAGATAGAGTCTCGCTCTGTCACCCAGGCTGGGGTGCAGTGACACGATCTCGGCTCACTGCAACCTCCACCTCCCAGATTCAAGCAATTCTCCTGCCTCAGGCTCCTGAGTAGCTGGGATTACAGGCATGCGCCACTATGCCTGGCTAATTTTTGTATTTTTAGTAGAGACGGGCTTTCACCATGTTGGTCAAGCTGGTGGTGGTCAAACTCCTGACCTCATGATCCACCCGCCTCAGCTTCCCAAAGTGCTGGGATTACAGGCATGAGCCACCACGCCTGGCCAGGTATTTCTTTATAGCAATGCAAGAATGGCCTAATACATTTGCCTAGAAATCAAAATTGCAATTTGGCACAAAACCAAAGGTAATATAACCTCATAGTTCAGGATAGCAAACAGCATTCCATAGAAAACCCAACCCCTCAAGAGAATTAGCATAGGATGCTTGCAAGGAGAATCTATGTTTTCCTTCCCCATTCACTTTGCCCTCTGTATAAGTCCGTTTTCATGCTCCTGATAAAGACATACTTGAGACTAGGCAATTTAAAAAAGTTTATCGAACTTACAGTTCCACATGGCTGGGGAGGCCTCACAATCATGGCAGAAGGCAAGGAGGAACAACTCACATCTTACGTGGATGGCAGCAGGCAAAAAGAGGAGCTTCTGTGGGGAACCTCCCCCTTATAATACCAACAGATCTCATGAGACTTATTTGCTATCACGAGAATAGCACAGGAAAGACCTGCTTCCATTACTCAAATTACCTCCCACTGGGTCCCTCCCGAACACGTGGGAATTCAAGATGAAATTTGGGTGGGGACACAGCAAAACCATATCACCCTCTGATCTCTCTCTCCCCCTGGATTGCCTCTCAGCCAACTACAGAGGGTCTGGGAATTAAGCATGAATCATCACCCACCTCTGCTTCTTCTGAGCACCCTACAACCTCCTGGCTGAGGAAACAGGGGAAGGCCCTACCTCACCCCTTCCAGCTGGGGAGCTAGCATACTGTCCGAGTCCTTGAAACTTCCTCACTCTGCTAATGACTGGGCCTGGCTAAGGGATGCAGCCTAACCAGCCAACGCTCCAGGGTGACAATTTTAGAATGAATATTGGAGAATGCAACTGAAGATTGATTCTGAGCCAGTTCTCATTCCCAGACAATGGTAAACATTGTTTTTCCTATAGTTTCCAGGAACATTTTCTCTCCCCGCTTCCTTCCTTTTCTTCCTTTTCTTCTTCCTCCCTTTAATAAATATGTATGAAGCACCATCTAGAAGCCGGGCCCCAAACTTGGCACCTGGGAGTCAGCAGTGAATGAGACACAGTTCTTGCCTTCTAGAAGCTCTGACTCTGGACAGAAATGAAGATTGATGGGAATTTTGTAATATAAAAATAAAAGGCTAACTGTGAGCAATGGTGATAAAGGCCACATAAGCTATTGGCTCAGGCACTGTGGCTGCACCTAAGGGAGGCACCCCACCCAGTTCTGGAGCCCAGCGGCGGAAGTGATGTTTAGACTGAGTCCAGAAAGGGACAAGAGGGGGCAAGGCAAGGAGGGAAGATTGCAAAAGTCATTAGCAAGTGGCTCTTTGTGGCTGGAGGGAGGGCTAAGCTGGGAGCTGGGCAATGGCCAGAGGTGTACGATAGGCAGCAGTCAAGCTCCAAAGGGCTCTCCATACCACTGAAAGGATTAATTCTGAGGGCAGCGGACAGCCACTGATGTTTCCTATACAGAAGAAAGATATAAGAATGTTCAAGTGTGGAAAATGGATTGAAGGATTACGGTTCAGAGCCAAGGATTTCAGCTCAGTGAGGGCTTCCTCACTTAAGAATTGCTTCATGGCTACATTTCACAGTGTACCATTGATATCTGGCTCTCTGACCCCTACCCTCCCAGAAATGGCTTCCATTTTGACGCACAGAGGTTAAACGACACACTCAGGCTCCTGTGAGACGCTTATGTCACAGCCAGCATTAGGCACGATCTGGGGCCTCTGTGACCCTTCTCCTTTGGTCTTCCTATCAACCCTGTTATAACCAGTTCACAACTGAGGACACTGAATGTCAGGAAAAGAAGGGATTCACCCAAAGTCACAGGGCTTAATAGTCACAGAGAATCTATTAAGTGGTGGAGGCAGATCTGAACTCAGGTCCTCGGACTCCAAGTCCAGTGCTCTCTCTGTTCTATACCATGTTGTCTCATGCAAAGGATGGTAAATGCTGTGAAATAAACAAGAAGGAAGAGGTTGAGAAATCAGGGAAGGCTCTGTGGAGGCACTGAATGGGAATGTGAGGTGGGCCTTGAAGGCCAGATAGATTCTGTGTAAGCAGTGAGGGGTAGTAATGAGGTGTGAGGGAGAGAAGGGACAAGATGAGTGAAAAGTCAGAATGAAGACCAGGCATGACACACCCATGGGGCATTTATATAAATCTAACATGAGAGAAGCTTAATCTAAATCTCAGGAGGTTAAGACACATGGCAGATGGAATGGGAAGTCTAACATATATAGAATCCGAGTCCCACAGGAGAGGAGAGGAGGCAATATTTTAAGAGTGAATAGTTAACAATTATCACAGACACATACTATAAAACTATGCAAAGATATTCCATTCTTCTTTTGTCAACCAGACAGAAAATGCAAATCACTACAAAGAATAAATAATTAGCCTTACAGCAGACTTCTCAGTTGCAACCATAAAAGCCAGAGAACAATGGAATAAAAGTTTCAAGTATGCTGAGAGAAAAATAACTGTGTTTAACGAAACTACCTTTCAAGGAAAAGAATAAAATAAAAAATCTTCAGAAAATAATTTGAGCTGGTTGATTTCTAAAGGAAATTCTAAAGGATGTACTTCAGGAAGAAAAAAAAAAATTATCCTGGATAGAAAATCAGAGATACCGGAACAAATGATGAGCACAGATACTGCAGGTCAACCTAAAAAAGTTGACTTACAAGACAATAATAAAAATGGATAATTTGAGGTTTTGAAAAAGATGGAACTATAATACTAGACAATATCTTAGCAGTAGGGAGTAGGAGTTTCAAAATTTTGTTTAGGGTGAGAGTAAAGATATATAGAGTCAGCCTTCCCTGTCTGTGGGCTCTGCATCTGCAGATTCAACCAAGTACAGATCAAAAATATTCAAAAACAGGCCAGGCATGGTGGCTCACACATGTAATTCCAGCACTTTGGGAGGCTGAGGTGGGCAGATCACTTGAGGTCAGGAGATTGAGACCAGCCTGGCCAACATGGTGAAACCCTGTCTTTACAAAAAAAATACAAAAATTAGCCAGGCATGGTGTGCAGGCCTGTTGTCCCAGCTACTCAGGAGGCTAAGGCAGGAGAATCGCTTGAACCCGGGAGGTAGAGATTGCAGTGAGCCAAGATCACACCACTGCACCCCAGCCTGGGCGACAGAGTAAGACTCTGTCTCAAAAAAAGAAAAAAAAAGAAAAAGAAAAAAAATTCAAAACCAAAAATGAATAAAAAACAAGAAAACAATTTTAAAAATACAAATAAAAAGAATACATTACAACTATTTACATAGCATTTACATCATATTAGGTATTATAAGTCATCTAGAAATAATTTAAAGTGTAGAAGGATATGCATATGTTTTATGCAAATGTTATGCCATTTTACATAAAGAACTTAAGCATCTGCATATCTTGGTATCCACAGGGGTTCCTGGAACCAATCCCCCAAAGAAACCAAGGGACAGCCGCATTAACTTTAGAATCTGCTAAGTGTACATATTAAATCGTCTAAATTAACCACTGGAAGATAGACATTGAGAGTGGTAAAATCTCCAAATAACAGAGGTGGAAAAATGGAATGAGAAAAAAAAACGTTCTCAATGAAGCATGAGAAAAGCAAATAACTGAAAAATAAATACACTGTGACATTTATATTAGGTTGAAAAGCTCACAATGCTAAACATTTGGAGATTAATATATAGCAATAAATGAAGCAAAGAAATAATGGACAAAATATTCAGCATAGGGATCATATCTGTTAAAAAGAGGTTACAATGGAGAGAAGCACACAGGTGAGGGCTTTAGGATTTGGTGCTGCTCCCACTTAAGCTTTCTTTATGCCCTTCACATATGTATATACATATATGGTAAGTATTCAATATTTAATATTAAAAATATTTTAATATTGTTGTTCTGCAGCTTCTCACACATTACTGCTATGGCATTCATTCAAAATTGATCAATGTCCTTTGGAGGCAGTGCAGGTTACCACCTAGAACAACAGAGTCACTAATCAGTTTTCGATTTCCATGCTGGTTGTCTGTGTCCCTGAAGTATGGTTCTCAGCCTTGGCTGATGCCCAGGTCCCACTTAGAGCGAGTTTGGTTAATTCATCTGGGTTACATCAAGCAGTGGTATGGTTGAAAACATTCTCAGTTGATTCTAACATGTAGCCAGGTTTGAGACTCTGGGCTAGAAAGTCAGTAGTCTTGCAAGCCAGGAATGGCAGAGATATAAAAAGTGACTCTCACATTCTAGAAACTCCCTCTATATTCAGAGCAATACTTAGAGATCTGAACATAGAGTTTTATAAACCTATTCTAGAGGGGATTATAGGATAGGTCCTATGAAGGTCCCTGCCAGACAGGAAAGAGAAGGAAAGAGCGTTTTCTAGGCTAGAGCTGGGAAGAGGCAGAGAAGAACTGGAGGAGCTGTCCTTAATCCCTCTTCTGCAACCCACACCCCAGAAGGTCTGAGAAGGTAGCTGAAAGCAGAATGTCCTATACCCTAGTTTCTGTTGGAGAGTCTAGCAATTACCCTGCACCTGCATAATGTAGCCACAGCTAAGCAGAAATGGTATGTGTAGAGAGAGAAGTCTAAAGATGGTGATTCCCAGCCTCACCAAGTTCCAGTGAGGAATGGAGGGGATCCAGGAGTTCTGCCACATTCTAGAGTGGGATTTGGAGCGCACAGGTAGAGCAACCCTAATATACGGCTGGGGGAGTGGAAACTAGATCAGCCTTCCGAGAGCCATCAGCCCCCGTCGTTAAATAAAGTACACATGCACCCTCTAGCCCAACAACTCCACTGCTGAAAGACACTGCACAGGTCCATAAGGATCCAATGCAAGGAACTAAATGATTAATTGTAGACAATCTGGGTTTCCATGACTTGGGGAGTAGATCAGTGAAATTAGGCGGATACACCCAGTGGAGTACTGTACAGCAGTTGGAAATAATACAACAGAGCCACACACAGCATGCATCTAATGGCATGATGCTCAGTGAGCTAAGTAAACACAAATGATATTTAAAGCACCTCACGATTCATGTAAATATAGGTAAGTATGGGGTAAGGGGAGTAGATTCTGGGAAGATGGCTACAGGGGCAGCAACATCATTTTAAAATCTCTCCAAATCTCCAAATAAGAACAGGCAGTGCAACTAAAGAACAAAACCAGAAGTCCATAGACTAGGTTTATAACAAATTAGGTCATGAGATATCCCCACGAGCCTTGCTATGGTCTGTGCCCATAAAAATTCATATGTTGACATTTAGTCACCAACATAATGGTATTAACAGAAGGGGTCTTTAGGAGATAATTAAGTAGTGAGGATGGAGGGCTCATGGATGGAATTAGGCTCCTTATGAAGCAGCAGGTTCATTCTCTTCTACCTTTATGCTGTGAGGGAACACAGCATTCAAGGTGCCATCTTCAAAGCGAGGACTGAGCCCTCACAGACACCAAACCTGCCTATGCCTTGATCTTCGACTTCCCAGCCTCCAGAACTGTAAGGCAATAAATTTCTGTTCTTTATCAATTATCCAGTTTCGGCCAGGCACGGCGGCTCACGCCTGTAATCCCAGCACTCTGGGAGGCCGAGGCAGGCGGATTGCCGGAAGTCAGGAGTTCGAGACAATCCTGGCCAACATGGCAAAACGCCGTCTCTACTAAAAATACAAAAATTAGCCAGGTGTGGTGGCACACGCCTGTAATCCCAGCTACTCGGGAGGCTGAAGCAGGAGAATCGCTTGAACCCGGGAGAGGAGGTTGCAGTGAGCTGAGATCACGCCACTGCACTCCAACCTGGGTGACAGAGTGAGACTCCATCTCAATAAATAAATAAACAAAACAAACAAAATTATCCAGTCTCAGGTATTCTGCTATAACAGCTCAAATGGGCCGAGAAAACCCCAAATACAAATGGTGGTAGGAATAAACCACTAACACAAGACCTTCATGATACCAATGTCTATACAGGAGAAAGAAGAAATAAACAACAAGGGTGGCTAATGGATCCAAGAGCAGTCAACAGAATTCACTGGAAAGCAGGAGACCAACTGAGAGTGGCAGCTGAAAATAGGGAGAGTTCTGCCCTCCCCAACCCTGGGTGAGTGCAAGGAGCCCACCATGAGACCCTCCAGGGCCACCTGCCACCACTGTGAGTGAAATCAAAATTGAGCAAAATACAGGCAAATAGAGGAAAGAAAGAGAAAGTATAGACCCATGGGGAAGGGACAGAGCCTGGAGACTTCAGAAAGCAAGCTGCCCTGTTTGGGAACACTACACAAAAACTACACAAGCAGCAGCTCCGTGGAGTTAGAAATACTTTCCTGGCCCTCGTTTAACTGCAAAAATTCAGGAAAACTAATTTCATGTAAAACTTAGCCACAGAAAATCATCGAGGTCAAATCACATATAACATCATCATGTGAAAAAGTAAGGAGCAGAACAACTTCCCTATAAGGTGATATATACACAATGTATACATAAGAACCCTTTCAACAGATACATGTGAAGCCTATCAGAATGGCTGCTTATTGGAGAGGAAAGGGAATGAAAATGAAGGAGAATAAGTAAATTAATAAGAAATAGCCTGTGTCTTCTGATGATAATAAGCCATGGGGGTGGGCAGGGGAGGGATGGCTGATGAACTCAACTCTCAGCACTTAGGACTTCTTAAAAGGTAGAAATAATTAAAAATGGTCCAGCTCCCCAAGTGGCCACAAGAAAAAAGGCAAAATTCAGCTGGGCGTGGTGGCTCACACCTGTAATCCCAGCACTTTGGGAGGCTGAGGTGGGAGGATCATGAGGTCAGGAGATTGAGACCAGCCTGAGCAACATGGTGAAACCCCATCTCTACTAAAAATACAAAAATTAGCCAGGCGTGGTGGTGCACACCTGTAATCCCAGCTATATAGCAAAGAGACCCCAGAAAGAGTCAAGGTAGGGCCAGGTCATGTTTAGGGGATGATCACTGCAGGGAAGGGGACCCTCAGACCCCTGCTGTGCTGGAAATCAGACCAGCCTTCCACCAGCTGTGGACCATCAGCAGTAGATGTGCTAAAACAGGACAAGGCCCATAGATGAGCCACTGACCAGGGCCTTTCTTTGGCATCCTCCCAAGGCTGTGAGCTCTCCCTATACCCAGACGACATTTGACGAAGGCAAATGACATTGGAGAGACCCATCAAGCAAGGAGAAGCAGAACTCTGAGCTTAAAATGACTGAATATTTGCTAGAAAATCACAGTTAAACTGAGACTCTTACACCAGAGATAGGATTATCTTTAATGGGAAATTTTAAGTTATTTATTTTTAGTCATCAACAGGAAATGTAGGACCAAAGTAAGATGAGATCACTTATAAAAACAAGTAAATAAGAAGCTCCATCTGTTGCACTTCCTCCTAGAAAAAATTTAAGTCTGAAGGAGATGTAGATAAAAATATAGACGTAGTTTCTCAACACTGCTGACATTTTGCCTGTCCGGCGGGGCTGCCTTGTGCACTGCAGGATGTTTAGCAGCATCTCTGGCCTTTACCTGCTAGATGCCAAAAGCATCTCCCAGTTATGATAATCAAATGTGTCTTCAGATATTGTCAAATGTCCCCTGGTGGCACAGTCACCCTGTTGAGAACCACTTACATGGACATAGACCATTAATCTCTTAAAAACGTTGACAACTGAATAAAAAGAAAAGTTATAGAACAAGAAAACTGTAGTGTATGGTATAATTTATGCAAGAAACATAGTTTCCATAAGAGTTTATTTAAAAATTATCAAAATTTTGCAAACATAAGATCTATGAGAACAAGAATTCTGTGGGTTTTTCCCCTACTATATTTTCATGTCTAGAATAGTGTCTGGAACTTAGGCCCTCAATAAAGAGTGTTGAATAAATCACTGAATAATTAGAATTACAATCCCATAACTAGCATTTATGGAATCCTGGCATTATGTTAACCACTGTGCTGAGAGCTTGATAAGCCCTAGCTCATTCAATCCTTGTGGCAATTCTTTGAGGTAGATACTTTTATTCTCCCCATTTTTGTAGAGTGGAAAATCAGGCTAAGAGAGACTGAGTTACTTGCCAAGGTCTTGTAGCTAATAAATGGCAGAGCTGGGATAGGGATGCAGCATTCTTTTAAGTCAGTCATATTCACAAGGCTTGTACTCTTATTAGACAGTAAGCAACCTGTCCTCCCCAGGTACAACCCACATCCAGATTCTACATCCAGAGCCTTTGTATTGCTCTGTTCTCGCACTACTATAAAGACTACCTGAGAATGGGTAATTTGTGAAGAAAAGAGGTTTAATTGACTCACAATTCCACAGGCTGTACAGGAAGCATGGCCATTTTCCATGACCTTCATGGCTGGGAGGCCTCAAGAAACTTATAATCATGGCGGAAGGGTGAAGGGGAAGCGAGCACATCTTCACAGGTGGGCAGGAGAGAGTGAAAAGGAAGGTACCACACACTTTTAAACAACCAGATCTCATGAGAATTCACTCATTACCATGAGAACAGCAAGGGGGGGAACCGCCCCCCATGATCCAATCACCTTCCACCAGGTCCCTCTCCCAACATTGGGAATTACAATTCAACATGAGATTTGGGTGGGAACACAGAGCCCAACCATATCAGCCTTCCATGCACAATGACCTGGAGAACGTGTGGGCAAGGTGTGGATTTGTATAACCTGTTCCTGCCACAAAGCCTACTGAAGTCTCTCAGCAGACTGCTGTTTTGGATGAGCCAAGATATCATTTCCAAGTCCTAACCAATTTTAAGGCTGACCACAGTTCAAGAAGCAATGCCCAAAGAAGCCTGATGTGGAGGGTAAGGAGTGGCTGCAAACATCTGCAAAACGGAAGTGTGCCCAGACTCCAGGACAGAGTCTTTTCAGTTTGGGTAGATCCATCCCCAAGGACAAAGAGATTAAATATACTATCCTGTTGAAAGCTGGTGCTAAAGCCAAACAAAGCAATTTCCAATCATCTCTCTGCCACTATGGCCTGATCTTGAACAAGTAAATCTCTCTTAAGTGGTCAGATGGAATTACATTAGTATCACCCATAGTTATTGGCCATATTAAGTGAAACAATCCCAGGAGGACAATGGATGATAGGACCACAGTGGCTGCTGCAGCCAGGCCTTGGCCTAAGCCACAAAGTCCAAGGGTCAGTGGCAGAAGTGAACAGAGTTATAATTAAGGGAACTGAGGCAGAAGCCCAGCATTTAGATTGGGGGCCTTGATGGAGACTTCAGGAGAGACACATTTGGGCCCATCTGCAGGTGTCCAGAGCTTCTCTGGGCCCAAGCACCTGAGGCTGCCATACTGACCATAGCACTCCCGGTTGGGCCTCTGTAGAACAGGACAGGGCTGTGACACAGGGACAGAGATCCTTCAGGGTAGCTACCCTCTCTCCCATGGTTACAGGCTGCAGTGAGTAAAGATGAGAAGGCAGGGAATGCAGAAGAGCTGAGGAACACTGGCCTGACAAACAAGTCCAGGCTTGCTTTCACCCTTCCTGTGCCAGCACTGACTATCACAGGCAGGCCACTGCAGCCCCGCTGGCCCCACCTCAGTGCGGCCAACAGTGCCTAACTCCTCTGTTACTACACCCTGAGCACAAATCCCGGTGCATCCTTCCTGACACCTCCCCTATTCGTCTCCCTGAATTCCATACAGATGTTCTCAGATAGCACCAACAACTTCATGTTCACTATTACAATATTTACTCCATGGGCACTAATCAGCTGCACCCCGGGAAAGGAAAGGCATTGTAAGTATACTTTCAGAAGACACTCTGCAATAACAGAGCCATAAATCCGTATGTTAGCAAATCCTCAAAGCCAACCCAGAATTCTGTTCCCAGCCCCTCCACCTCCATTCCGTTCCCTGAAATTATTAGCTCAGAATTGAACCTGAGTAACCAAATGAGCTCTTTTTATTTCTCGGTTAGGACTTCACCCTCAAAAGAAAGAAACGCAGGCAGGCCAGCCACGACGTTTCACTTTTTATGGACCTCAATTTATCTGACGTGCATATTTCTTAAAGCTTTCACCGCAGCTACGCCTCAACGGCTGACAACACCTCCATTACCACTTAGCTATTTCTCATTCATTTTTGTGACTTTCCTTTCTGACCGCCATACTTTCCAGACAGTATCATTAAGGAGGCTGGAATTATTAAGCTCTTCATTCTCAACAGTATCTCAAAGCATCCTAAAGCCACAGAGATTGTGATGAATGAGCTCAAAGGCCTTCTTTTTTTTATAACGCCAAATGAAATTTAACCATGGCTAACTGCTCAGACAAGGGTTTCACTGGACGAGTTTCTTGGTCCCAGATATATTTATGCACAAGAGGCAATATCCATGCCTATGAATGTCTGCTCCAAGCTGACCTGCCAGGTTCTAATCACCAATGCTGCTGTTCATGAGAGAGTGGTATCACCCAGTAAAATGACTTCTGAAACTGGCTATGGCAAGATCCTGTATAATACTGACCTCCATTGGATGTATACATTTATGGCATGATTGTTTAATATCAGTCTCACTGACTAGACTGACAGCTTCGCTAGAGCAGAAGCCAGGTTATTTTTCCCTCTGTGGTGAACACAGATTGGTCTTGCCTGCCCAGTATCATTCAGTGGCTATCTTCTGGCAAGGGAACTGTGACCTTTTGGGACGCCACGTACTCTCAGTCTGTGCAGTTCCAATAGGGTGTTCTCCACCCACCTACTCTAGGCATGATCATATGACCCAGGGCTAGCTAATCAAGGCAGATCACCTGCCTGACCACAGTGACTGGTCCAGAAGTGAACATATGACCAACCCAGACCCAACAAAGCAGACTATTGGGACTAATACTGGGGCTGTTGAGAGACAAGCAGGCCCTTTCTTCTGCTGGATTTGAGCCTGGGAGAATGCAGGCATGCAACCTCAGGCTGATGCATTGCTTGGTAATGAAAACAACATAGAAAACAACAGAGCTGAGAGATGGAGAGAGTCTGGTTGCTGAAAAGCCTAAGCTCCCTGGATCAAGCAAAGCCTGAAGCTAGACCTATCTGTGGGTTTTTCAGTCTTATGAGCTGAAAATTCTCTTTTAGGTTACATCAGTTTGAATTTTTTGTTGTTGTTTCTCACAAGTGAATGTAAGTTCCATGAGGGTAGGGAAGGCACCAGTTTTGTTCATCACCACACACCCTGTACTTAGCACTCAACACAAACTTGACAGTAATAATCAACAAATGAATTATTTACATGCCTTTACTCAGGGAGTCTGTCTTCTCTTGCCCCTGTCTAGGTAACTCAACAATCTGAAACACACAATTCCCTGTTTTACCCTAATTGCATTAAGGACTTTGCAGACTATATGGGAACCCAGATGGCATTCTTCAGGAATTCTATAGGAGGGTGGCACCGGCCTCAGGAGGAGCAGACACTTTCCTGGTTAGCAGTAAGGCAGGGCAGTGTTGGCTCCACAGCCCAGAGATGGCTGGGCACCTCCTAAAGAAAATGGCCACCTCTCCACCCTCAAGGAGACCACCTGGCCTAGAAAGGAACTGATTCCCCAGAGCACCGTGTGCCCTGGAGCAGCTACTGAACCTTCCCCTCAGCTGTGAGATGGCAGCAAGGCTGCACTGCATCACAGGTAAGAGCATGGATTCTGAACCCAGATCACCTGGGTTTGAATCCCACCTCCCCCACTTACTAAAAACATAACCATGGGCAACTGACTTCACCTCTCTGTGCCTCAGCTTCCTCATTTGTGAAATGGGGCTAATGCTAGCAGCAAGTGCATGGTGATGTCACATAGGACTAAATCAATGAACATATGAGAAATGTTTAGAAGAGGGTCCAGCATACTGTAAGCACTATGTACGTAATGGCTACCATTATTACCCAGTCCAGAGAGTTGTTTGGGAAGTAAGTGAAATACTGGATGTTCAAGGTTTACTGGACACAATGCCAGCACAAAGTAACTGTTCCCAAATTATTAGTTAAAACACAAAAAGCCAATACAATCCCACAGGTGAGGCCAACCACCACATCCCATAGATACCAGCCAATGTACATCTGACAAGAAGTAAAAAGTCAGATGTCCTCTGCCCAGGGATGCCACTGATCCAAAAGGTACCTTCGTGCACCAGACAGACAGCCCCATACAGGATGCGAGGCTTGGAAGCAAAGTGGACACCAGAACTACAGATAGCTGATAGAAAAGGGTTAAAATTTCAGGAACACCATTACAACCTACGCTTTCCTACAGCAAAAATAGTCTCATTCTTCTTTGTAGTCTCTTTTGGAGACTAGATAGCCAGTGCACACCTGAAAAAAACATGAAGGAAAATATTCCTTTATTTTTCAGTTGGAACCGCTAAAGCAAGAACTTAAGAGGAAAGTGGGTCAACTGACCTACTTCTTTTTCTCCTTTAGAAAGTTTTGCATTTGAGGTCAGAGTTGGTAGAAAATTTCCATTCCAAATTCTGCCCAAGAGAAGAAAATTAGCAATCTCGCTTGCCATGATGGATTGTGACATGCTAACCAAGCTTCCAAATGGCCCCTGCGTTACCCCTAATGACTTTTAAAAAATATTTCAAGATGGGTATCATACTCATAATAGAAGAAAATTCAGACTTGCACTTTTTTTTTGGAAGGCTAAATCAGTGTCATCTTTCTTTTGTGCACAGGTCTTTTTCTTTATTTCTGAGTGATAGCAGTGACATAACTTAGTATGCCATAAAGAGATGAACCACCTTGCACGTGCCTCGGTTCCTGATGTGCCACCATGTTTGTCTATTCCATATAACAAACCAAAGCATTTATTGCATGACACCATGTTCTAAACACTTTAAAAATGTTGATACATTTAATCCTCACAACACTACTACGTAGTGGGTGTTATTATTTTCTCCACTCCTGGTTTCTTCAGCAATTCCTTGCTAAACACGAATTTTTAGTGCCTGGGTCCACACTGCCAAGATCCCAAGAACCCCATCTTAACTGTCCCCTCTCAACAGATTCCAAATCTTCACCAGCATTTCCTGTCTTCCTACTAATCCTGGAAGCCAAGAACAGGGGTTTGGACTGGCACACTCTCTCCCTCTTAGCTCCAGAAATTCTAGTTCCTGGGAGTAATCCCAAAGACCAAACAGGGCATCCCCAGATTTTCCCTCAAGCTGGGTCAGGAAACCAGTGCCAGCTCTGATTGCCAAGGTCAGGAATGAGGAGGGGTGAGATTTAAAATAAAGAACCCAGGCCGAGCCTAAAAGAAGTTCTCCGAATATACAGTAAGGGATTGTAAATGCAGAGAGGGCACTTTTCTGTCCCAGTTTCCATCCCTGGATGGCAGTATATGCAAAGAGACAGCCAGAATGGAATAGGTAAAACTAAGAGCCAGAAACCTGGTTTTTCATCCCAGCTCCCCTGCTGACTGCTGGACAAATGTGGGATAGTTTCTCAAGCTCTCTGGTCCTCAGTGGGGTCACCTGTAAAGGGCTAACCATGACCAGCTCTTGCAGTAATTGGCAGTGCCATGGGATGCAGGACTGCATGGCAGCATCAAGCCCGAGGATGGCAAAGGTCAGCAGCAGCCAGCCTGTCCAACCCCTTCCTGCTCCATACAGCTCAGACAGGAGACCTCCCTCCCAGTGCATGCAGTCAGAGGGGCCAAGCCCCAACTCCATTCCCACTCAGCTGCTGCCTCCCAGGGCACAGTTCTTTCCACCTCTCTGGGGGTTTCCTCCCTGCAGGATGGCCAGTGGGTTTGCCCCTCATCCACAGGGCTCCCAGGAGGGCTACCCAGGAGGGGATCACCATTGCTTACACCTCAGTTTCTATACCACCAACACAACATCAACGGAGAAATGAGCAAGGTGAAGTCCGACAGTCACAGGGTGGAGAACATCCTCAGTCCTCAGCCCACAGACTCCCAGGCACCTACCCTGTGGCCAGCCCCAGGCCCCGGCCAACCTTTCCAATGTTCATGACAACCTGAGCAAACTTCAGTGGCTTGGCAGGGGCAGGGCCCTGGAGCAATATCAGCAGTGTTTGCCCTCAGAACCACACTGCATGGCAGAGGTCAGGAGCAGAGGGTGTAAAGGCCCTCACTCCCCATTCTGGGGGGTTCGCTAGCCATCAAGACTGCCCAATAGCAAGGTGCAGCCATCAAAAATGCTCTTTCTTCTACTAAAGTGAAATGTGTTTCTTCAGAATCCCCATCCATCCCCAGGGATATGGTTTGGATATTTGTCCCACCCAAATCTCATGTTGAAACATGATCCCCAGTGTTGGAAGTAGGGCCTGGTGAGAGGTGTTTGGGTCATGGGGGCAGATTCCTCATGGCTTGGTGCTGTCCTCACCACAGTGAGTGAGTTCTCATGAGATCTGGTTAAGTGTGTGGCACCTGCCACTACCCACCTTCCTCCCACTCTCGCCACATGACATGCCTGCTCCAGCTTCGCCTTCTGCCACGAGTAAAAGCTCCCTGAGGCCTCCCCGGAAGCCAAGCAGATGCTGGTGCTACTTCCTGTGCAGCCTGCAGAACTGTGAGTCAATTAAACCACTTTTCTTTATAAATTACCCAGCCTCGGGTATTTGTTTACAGCAACACAAAAACAGCCTCACACACCTGGAGCCCAGTTTTGACCTTTTTAGCAATCCCCCTTTCTCAAGACAGAACTCCAGAGACTGAGGGGGTGGTTCTGTTCCTCTACCCATTCCTCCCCACAGCTTCTCCTTTCCAAGATAAACATTCCCGAAGTAATCATTAAAATGACTTCTGTGATTTATATTTCCTTCCCTTCCCTCAAACACAGCAATGTTTTGTTTGTGTGCTGTCATCCAAACAGCAATCCGGAGGAGTCTGAAGATGTGGGGCCCATTCTAGACCCTAGCAGCTCTGTGACCTTCAGTGCTCTTCTCTGAATGTATTCTGAGGTCACAGTGGAAGCAGGTGGGAAGAAGTGTCCATTCTACTTTGGAGCTCTCGCATCTCATAAGAAAGCTGCCCCTCACTGCTGGGATCCCTGCACTGTCTACATGGCTGGGGAGTATCCTCCTCCCAGGTGGGGTCCCCCGTTTGTGCTTGCTCACGAAGAAGCATGCCAGTAACACCCTACAGAGGACAGCCAAAGGCCCACCCAAGCCCAGGTGAGGCCACGCTTGAGATCCACTCCCAGCACCTGAGCAGGGTCACATGGAGATAATTTACCAATGCCAATGATGTCACCCACCGGGTAGTCCCATTCTGTGCCAAGCCCTATGGGCAAGCAGCAAGGCAGCCAATGGGTTGTCACCCAGACAATAAATCATAGACCACATTGTGACTGTTTTTGTAGAAGTAAAGCTCAGGAAGAGAAATGGGTTCTGACTGAGCCAATGTTCAGACAGAGAACATTCTTAATAATTTTAGATACATGTCGAATTTTGAAAATACCTTTTTCCCCAAAGCCAAGGTTATATGTACTAGCATTTCTCACAAGTAGTTTGATATAACTACAATCTCTCTCCCAATTCCTGGAACATAACAATGAACAAAGGAGAAACAAGGAATTACTATCACTCTTTGTAACCCAGGAGACTCTACCTAGAACCCTGTGGTCCCAGAGAAAAGCCTGTTCCCAGTCCCCTCTCACTCTGCACTCTGTGCCCATTTCCCCAAACCTGATTTCCCAAAGGAGCCTCTGGTGGTTGACCCCAGATCCCAGGAAACATCAGGAAACACACTGGCATGGCTTTTTATGGTGGACAAAGCACTCCTGTTGGCTCAATCTTCGTAAGTGTCCTGTGAAGTAGATGTTACAATGCCAGTTTCACAGATGGGGAATTTAAAGGACACATCCAAGGTCTCAGAGCCGCTAAGTTCTAGAATGGACCCCATATCTTCAGATTCTTTGTCTATTTGCTGTTTGGATAACACTGGCACAAATCCACATGTGTTTGAGGAAAGGGAAGGAAATCATTCGAGTAGTCATGTTTAACCTGCATATGAAATCTAACTGAATTAACTAAGACTCTTTTATCTGGGAAAGAAAAGATTTGTATTGGGATTCTGACAGATTATATTATTGGCTCAAATTCTTCTTCCCTCTCTGTTGCCACACCCTTTGACATAGGACTCTGCAGTTCCTCGTAAGAAAAAGACAGAATATATTTTCCCATTCCTCAGCTCTGTGAGGTACAAGGCAAAGTGACAAGGTGCTGGCTCTAAGAATAGGGCTCAAGAGCCTGGCATGCTTCCAGTTGCTCTCTGATGTCTGTCCTGTCACCATGAGAAGAGCATGCCTGAGCTGGCCCACTGGTCCCAGAAGAGTGTAATAGATCCATGGTGCAGAGATGCCCCAGCTGAGACGCCCAACCAAGCCCAGGGAGAGCCGAGTCCCCTGCCAACCTGCAGCAAAAACTCCTTAACAAATTAGACTGGTGCAGGCCACCTGCCTCTGTAGGAATTGGTACAGAGGAAGTCCTAGCCCCTCCACCAGGGAATTCCTATATTGAAAGAGAAGTGGGAACACACTCACTGTTCCAGACTTTGGGATTTTATAAGTGAGTAAAGTTGAAAAAAAAAAAAAAAAGCAGGAGTGGGGGAGGTCCCGGGCTGCTAACTTTTTACTTTTTCAAGCAAAGGCAATATATAAAAATAACCATGACTTACTATCCCATCAATTCATAAAAGATAGGACATTTTAACACTAAAACTGAGGAAAGGATATAATCTTAGAATATGACACAGTCCTTTCTAAGCAAAGTTACTTGGCCACCCTCCATATGTGAGCCTTTTTCTTTCCTTCTGTCACAGATCAGTGAAAATTCTGTCACAAAATAGCTCCAGCCTGTGTAACAGCAACTTTTCTGCATGCTTTATGGTAGAACTGTCAGAACATGAAATTAGCTACATAAATTGTGAGACTTAAATCTTGGTTCTGTTTGTTCTGTGACAATATAAAAGTTACCTTTTAAAAAAAAAAAAAGTCAAAAAAGAAAACAAAGCTAAAAATAATTTGAGCACCTTGGTCGCACCTTCTCCACTGGCTGCCAAAGGCAGTTGGAGCACCCGGCACAGCTGCCCACTCTCACCCACGTGCCACTCCTGAGTTACACTCCACAGCTCCCTAAGATGCCAGTGCTGCACTTCCATGACCATAGTAACGTCTGAAGAAAAAGCACAGTGGTGACTTAAATGGAAGTTCTACCGGGGCTACAGGGACACATAACTGGGACAGAAGGGAGAGGCAGAGAATCCCCAGCACCAGCTCCAGGGACACATGGCTCAGTCAGCCATGAGTGCTGTCTTCTCTCTGAGCCCTAAAGAGCCAGTCCAACCTTCTGCCAGATGTGTGGTGACCTGGGAGAAGAAAGAGGTCTGAAAGTGGACGGTGGTCATAACAGACTAGATTATCCTTCGAAACTATCCACTGTACCATGGACGCCACATTGGTTCTGGCTAACAGAATGTGAGCAACAACTTGACGTGTCAGTTTCCTGCAAAAGCTTTAGGAGCCAATGTGTGGTTCTCCAAGTCTCTCATTTCCCTCTGTCATGAGATCATCAATGTTTTTTTTTTTTTTTTTTTTTTTTTTTTGAGACTGAGTCTCGCTCTGGTTGCCCAGGCTGGAGTACAATGTTGCAATCTCGGCTCTCTGCAACCTCTGCCTCCCAGATTCAAGCAATTCTCCTGCCTCAGCCTCCTGAGTACCTGGGATGACAGGGGCCTGCCACCACACCTGGCTAATTTTTTAAAATATTTTTAGTAGAGACAAGCTTTCATCATGTTGGCCAGGCTGGTTTCAAACTCCTGACCTCAAGTGATCCTCCTGCCTCAGCCTCCCAAAGTGCTAGGATTACAGGCGTGAGCCACTGCGCCTGACTAACCATCAGCGTTTTAAATAGAGGCAGCTCCTTCAGGCTGAGGCGCAGACTAAAGTCTGAACCAACTCCCAAAGGGCACGTAACATGTGTAAGAAATAAACCTTGACTGGTGGGGGTCACTGAGACTTCAGAAGCATTTGTGACCGAGGTATATCCAATCTGACCAACATGACACGGATGCTATTCATTGGGTTGGAGAGCTCAACAGCAGTGGCAACAGAGGAAGATGGCAAGCTCATCTTGGAGGTATTTCTGTACTTGGTCCCTGGGTGAGAGGCAGGGGTGAGGGCTGAATACAGAGAGGCCTAATACATAGGTCCCTGACCTCACCAAGCATTAAGACCACCTGGGAAGGCTCATCTGACCCTCACATGTGTGGCTCTGGATTTTCAATGCAGAGAAGCAAGGGCTGTTCTTCGGAACTGTAAAGCCTGGGATCTAATCCCAATCCAAACATTTTCTTCCCACCTTCATCCATTCTTCCCATGGATACTTACTGAGCCAGGCACAGGGAAAACAAGCAAGCTCCTTAACCTCACAGGCTCACATTCAGGTGGGAGGACAGACAATAAGTAAATCTGATAAATACCAACTGGGCACACTCTGTCCAGGAAATGAGCAGGGTGAGCTGAGGGACACTGGGGAAGGCTGCTGTAGGTAAGGAGTTCAGGAAAGGCCTTTCTGAGGAGGGGATGTTTGAGATGGAAAATGAGAATGTGCCAGCCATGCAAAGAGCTGCTGGAAGACAGAAAATGTGAGCAGAGCCACGGCAAGCACAAAAGGTCTGAGATGGGAAAGAGGATGGCTTGTTTGAGGGACAGGAAAAAGGCCAGAGCTTTGGAAACAAGGTGAGCAAGGAGGGACTTTCAAGGAGCCACCCTGCCCTAACAGTCTATGTTTGGGTGACACTGACCTCTTCATTCAGCCATCTGTCATCTAATCAACAAGTATGTACCCAGAGCCTACAGTGTGACAGGCTGTGGCCAGGATCCAGGGATGGGGGTCCTAGCCACCAGCAGCTCATGCAACTCTCAGGGCTCACTGTCTTATGACCACAAAGAAGATGCCTCTGAGGGGCCCTTGGTGGCTACAGAGGCTGTGAGGTGACAGCAGTGGGCGAGAGCCATGTTCATCCCTTCCCAGAAGAGTTGGGAGGCCCGTTCAGCATCCCTGGGGCCTGCAGCCTCCTGGACTCCCACTGGGAGAGGGACAGAATGGAGATTGCTTAAAGTCCTCTGCCCCCTGATTATAACTGTCCTTCAGCACCCCTCCCCAACCCCAGAGAGAGGCAAAGATGTGGAAATCATCTGGCACAGGGCCCAGAAAAATGGTGCTACCATGGAACCAGGGGGCGATGAACTTGGTGTTCCTCTCGAAGCCAGCTCGGCGAGGCAGCTGCTCCTCCTTAAACCAGCGGACGATGACATCTCTGGAGACTGGGCGCAGCGGGCGCTCCCAGGTCCTGCTGAAGAGAAAGAAAGTGGGGAGGGCAGAAGAGTCAGGGAGGGAGAAAGAGCGGAGGGAGAGGAAGGCAGAGGGGAAGGAAAGAGGAAGGGAGAGGAAGGTAAAAGGAGGAGGAGGAAGGGGGGGTGGAAGAAGGGGCAGGGGAGGGCCATGAGAGAATGAATATGCTAAGCATGGTGCCCATATCCATGCCTACAAAGAGGATTAAAACAGCCCAGGTACTCGAAGGCATTTTGCAGATTATAATGTACCATCTGTTATTATTTATTTAAAAGAAAACTGTTACCGATTGCTTCAAAAAACAGCCACACAGGTGAGAATGAAAAGAGGCTAGGAGGGGGTGTCTGAGGGAAAGAAAAGGCACATTTTCCCTCGAGCACGGCCAGGGCATAAATACCAGCATGGATGAAGGAGGCTCCTGACGGAAAGTAAATGAGCGTGTCTCATCCCCTTCTCTCTCTCAGAAACAATTCTGGGTCTTGTCCCCTCCTTAGCTCTCCCTCCCCGCCCTCTGAGGGGACGCCTGCCTGTGCCACAACTCCTGCGCTTTTGTAAGGCAGAACCAGGGCAGTGAACAGAGAGAGAAGCTGGAGAACCTCAATTTGCTCTGGAAATGGCTGAGATTCCCTGCCCAGAAAATAAAAACTATGACAGAGGATACGGAGGCGGAAGGAAACAAAACCACACGTTGGTAACTACGGATGGAATGGGTGAGGGACTGAAGGCACGGAGGGCGGGAGGAGGAGGAGCACGGGAAGAGTTTAGACGAGGGAGTAGATACGTTTTAAAGTTTTCTCACAGGTGAGCCAAGCTCGTCATTGCTTTCGTGTCTGAACTGCGGTTCCCAGATGCTTACATAGACTTGGACACATGAGACCCCCCTGCACTCGGGCTACACTGAAAGCATAGTTAAGAGCTGGCAGCACACGACACGTGACAGGCACCCACAACTGTGTGGTAAAGTACAATGCAGTAACACCATGGTGCATGAAATCATGGCACAAAAATACAGCATCTGGGCCGGGCGCGGTGGCTCACGCCTGTAATCCCAGCACTTTGGGAGGCCAAGACCAGTCTGGCCTGATCTGCTCCCTCATCTAAACTCTTCCCGTGCCCCTCCTCCTCCCGCCCTCTGTGCCTTCAGTCCCTCACCCATTCCATCCATAGTTACCAATGTGCGGTTTTGTTTCCTTCCACCTCCATTTCCTCTGTCATACTTTCTATTTTCTGGGCAGGAAATCTCAGCCATTTCCAGAGCAAATTGAGGTTCTCCGGTTTCTCTCTCTGTTCACTGTCCTGGTTCTGCCTTACAAAAGCACAGGAGTTGTGGTGAAACCCCATCTCTACTAAAAATACAAAAATTAGCCAGGCATGGTGGCAGGCACTTGTATTCCCAGCTACTCAAGAGGCTGAGGCGGGAGAATCGCTTGAACCCAGGAGGCGGAGGTTGCAGTGAGCTGAGATCGTGCCACTGCACTCCAGCCTGGGCAACAGAGCAAGACTCTGTCTCAAAATAATAATAACAATACAGCATCTGAGGAACAAGGCAACAGCCCACCTTGAACAACCAAAGCCTCTTCGCCATTTCCAACTGAGTGACAGGAGACTGGTAAATTCTTATTTTGTTGTTGTCATCCACCTAATAGTACTGGCATTTAGAATTCATGGTTATCCTTGTTTTTTATAAAATCAATGTCAGCTGTCCTCTCATGTGGTCTCCATATTTGCCCTGTACCCTCACTTTGACACTGTGCTCAGCGTACCTCCTTATAAGCCCAGAATAAATCCGTGGGGCATTTCTTTACTCGCCCTAAACTGAATACATTCACACATGCACATGCATGCACACACACAGTAGTGAACACTGTAGATTTGAGAAAAGATGTTGGAAGGACAGAGGGTGAGGTTACATTGCATGGCTTACAGCTGTCATCTGTGGAGTTGGCCTCCAGCCCCTGTCTTCCCACTCGCTGCCACTCTGGGCTTTCCTTTACCCCCTACAGCCCTACAGAGAGCCAGCCTGTGTTCCCAGTCCTCACACTCTTCCTTCTCAGTAACCTCAGATGTCTTTCTTCTTCATTAAGCAGTGCAGGGCAGCCTGCTTCACCCAGCCTCTTCTTCCACATTTGCATCCCCCAAAAAATAGCTGTGCTCGGTGGAAAAACTCCTCTAGTTTCTAGGACTCGCTTTCCTTAGAAGGCAATAGGAAGTTATATGTAACAGCAAAAAATAAATTCACTCACTCTTGTCCCTCTGTTTCTAAGCAGTCGATTTGAATTCGTTTCTAAGCAGAGAGTTTCTAAGCAGGGAATCTGACTCCCCCAGAATATAAATGCTACATTTATATACCTTAAAATTTTGATCATTCTATATAAATTAGACAGTTTTCACTTCTTTTTTCTTTTTCAGCTAATCTATGGCATTTTCCCTTGTTATAAACCCTTCAAAGGAGTCACTTTTATTTTCAGAAAACATTCCAGTGAATTGACTTAACCAAAATTCACTGTAAACAATTACATTGCTTCTGACTTTTTGCCATTATTAATAATGCTATGATAATCATCTTTGCGCTTTTTCCAATTTGCAGATAATTTCCTTAGTATAGATACTGGCACTGAAATTACTAGCCAAAGTCATACCAGCAGTAAAGAGTAGGGCCTGGGTAAAAAGATATGTGAGCAGCTTGTATACTGGTCCACAAGAGCTGACTGTTAAATTTTCAGGAATTTTCTAAGCCAGTTGTTAAACACAGCCATCATTAAAAGATAAATGTAACAGGCCGGGCACAGTGACTCATGGCTGCAATCCCAGCACTTTGGGAGGCCGAGGTGGGCGGATCACCTGAGGTCAGGAGTTCAAGACCAGCCTGGCCAACATGGTGAAAACCTATCTCTACTAAAAATACAAAAAATTAGCCGGGTGTACTGGCGCGCGCCTGTAATCCCAGCTACTTGGGAGGCTGAGGCAGGAGAATCACTTGAACCTGGGAGGCAGAGGTTGCAGTGAGCCAGGATCGGACCACCACTGCACTCCAGCCTGGGTGACAGAGTGACTCAGTCTCAAATTTTTTTAGAAAAGTTAAATCTAATAAATGTGCAATTAAATAAATTTTATTAAAATAAGGATAATAAATACTCAAAACTAAAAAAAAAAAAAAAGAGTATAAATACTAGATGTGTATTCCACGAGGCCACTTGGCCCAAAGCCTCACTCCTGAATCTGAACCTCTCCTCCCATCAGCGGCATGCATCTGCTCTTAGCACAAACAGATGAGGTGTGCTGACAGGCGCCACAGAGGTGACAGCAGTGAGGCCATGGGCACCCGTCCCATGGGGCGGCTATAGGAGAGAGGCTGGTAGGAGGGCCCTCTCACTGCCTGGGCCTGCTGCCCTGTATGCACAGCTGCTTGTCCCCTTTGAGGCTCACTCTGGATGAGGCCACTGCTCCCCTATTGGCTGCACAAAGCCAGCCCAGAGCCAGGTTGCACCATGGTCCATGTGGCTCCATCAAATGGGCCTGAGGGACAAATTCTAGGTTTCTTTTAAAAAGCATAGATGAGGAGATGGCTTTTCTAACTATGCCCCCAAATTTAGAAAATATAAAAGAGGTCGGGTGTGGTGGCTCACACCTGTAATCCCAGGACTTTGGGAGGCCAAGGCAGGTGGATCACCTGAGGTCAGGAGTTCGAGACCAGCCTGACCAATATGGTGAAACTCTGTCTCTACTAAAAATACAAAAATTAGCCGGGTGTGATGGCACGCACCCATAATCCCAGCTACTCAGGAGGCTGAGGCAGGAGAATCACTTGAACCTGGGAGGCGGAGGTTGCAGTGAGTGACCGAAGATGGTGCCATTATACTTCAGCCTGGGAGACAGAGTGAGACTCCGTCTCAAAACAAAAAAGAAGATATAAAAGAAAATTTGACCTTGTAACAATCAAGAATTCCTGCATGACAAAAAATTTCATATGAAAATCAAAAAATAAGTGCCAAACTGAGAAAAAATGTTTATCACAGACAAAAGAATCCTCTTCCCTAATATGTAAGGAGTTCTTAGAACTCAATAAGGAAAAGACAACACAATAAAAAGATCATTTACAGCACATTGTATAGAATACTATGCACCTGTTAAAAAAAAAGCCTAAATAGATAATATAAGAATTGATATGAAAAGCCTTCTAAAAACTAGTTAAATGAGGGGAAAGCAATCAAAGTGCAGAACCCCATGCATAAAATGCAAACTTTTCCACAAAAAAAAAAGAGGAGGAATAAGGCCTTTCATGACGGTAACTGCAAAAACAAAGTGAGTGGATACATAAAAAACGAAGAACAGAGCCGGACGCAGTGGCTCACGCCTGTAATCCCAGCACTTTGGGAGGCCGAGGTGGGCAGATCACAAGGTCAGGAAATCGAGACCATCCTGGCTAACACAGTGAAACCCCATCTCTACTAAAAATACAAAAAATTAGCTGGGTGTGGTGGCGGGCACCTATAGTCCCAGCTACTTGGGATGCTGAGGCAGGAGAATGGAGTGAATCTGGAAGGCGGAGCTTGCAGTGGGCTGAGATCACGCCACTGCACTCCAGCCTGGACAATAGAGCAAGACTCTGTCTCAAAAAAAGAAAAAAAAAAAACTAAGAACAGTAGTGACCTCTGGAAGAAGGGGGAGTGGAGTAGATGGAGGGAGAGAGGGAGTCAGCCATTTCTCAGTATACCTTTTTAAACCTTCTGGTTTGGGAATCTTATACTTGACAAGAAAGGAAAGGGTGGGAAGGGGGGAGGGGAAGAAATGAAGACATCAACTGTCCCTAGACTGCAGGCAGAGGCAAAGCAAAACTCAGACACCCCTTCATTATCTGGGGGTGACTGGACTCTTCTGCAGATTACCTGAGGTTAAAGGAGCAGGCAGGTGCTCACCACCCAGCCTCTGGCCCTCCTGGGGACAGTGGTTGTTCAACAATGATGAGGGAAGGAGGGCACCCAAGAGGAGAGAGGCCAAACCTTGGGGTGGCCTAAGGTGGGGGCAGGTAGAAAGAAGAGAGGTTCCCTGCAACCTCCTAACCTTTGGTCCTGGCAATTTCGGACAGTCACCTAAGTGCCCTTGCCAAACAAACCCTCAGGGGACACAAATGTGTGTGAGGACCCGCCTGCAACCAACCATGCTAAACTGCAAACCTACTATTCCAATTGGAGAAAAACTGGCTTGCCTGGGGCTCCGACAGGCAGCAAGCCCTGGTGTCCAGGCTGCCCGGCCATGCTTTACCCATCTGAGGTCTCACTACAAGTTCTTAGCCGGAGGCCCTTAGAGTCTCAAATTGTATGCAAACATTCTAGATCTTTATATATGCATATTTGAGGGGGAAGAAGGTACACCGCTTTCTTCAGATTCTCAAAGGAATCCTTGACCTTAAAAAGGTCAAAGCTCCCAGAACTCCAAAGTTATTACAAATCTCCAACTCCCACATCTCTCCTCCCTCTCCTACCCTAGACTAGGGCTGAAGTCCAGAGGGGAAATGCTAGCCCCAAACTACACAGCAAATCTGGGGCAGACCCGGGACGGGGACCCCGGTGTCCCATGCCCTAATCCAAGGCCCTTGCCCCAACCACACCAACACGGAGCCTGGACCCACCTGACCGGCAGGGCAAGGGGCTGCGGCAGACCCGGGTCGGGGAGGTGGTGGTAGAGTCTTGCCTCCTGCTCATGGCTCTGGCCAAGCTCCCGGAACATGGAGCTGAGGCCAGCGACCGTGCCCTTCTGGATAGCACGGAGCGAGTGGTGTCGGTACTCGTCCCGGGCGCGCTGGGCTCGGCGGCTCCTCTCCTCATCAGCCGCCTTGGACCGGCGCACTGGAAAGAGGAAGACAGCACGTTAGCCCAGATCCGCAGCCCAGGCGGTGCACTGCGCCAGCTGGGACAGGAAGTATTTGGTTGGTGCAAAAGTAATTGCAATGTAGTGGCAAAAAATCGCGATGACTTTTGCACCAACCTAATAGTCCAGGAACCTCAGGATTCACCTGGCTGCAAGGAAGCTCAGAACCCAGAATGACAGAGCAGGCCCCGCCCAGCCCTAGCAGCACCCCTAGGGCAAGCCTGTCCCTACAGAGGTAAAGATACCCTGACGGTTTAGGGTTGTCTGGTTGTTCCTGTGACGCCATTCCAGAATGGCCAAGCCACCTTGGGGTGGAAATTTCCATCTCCCTATCTATTTCTTCCTGGGAGTGCCCTGCTCAGAGCAGCTCCTCAAATCCTCTGCCCACTCAGCTCACCCGTCAAGGTGGCCAGCATCTCCAGACACTACCACCGTCACCCACATTGACAATGCCAAGCCCTGGGCTTGGTGCCTTCCCTGCATTATCTCACTAAGGGACTTCCCCCAACCACCCAGGCAGGGAACATCATTATTTCTGCTTTATGGGTGAGGAAACCAGCCTCTGAGAGGTTAAGTAACTAGCCCAAAGTAAATCAGCTCATAAGGAGCAGAGCCTGGACAGAAACCCAGGTGTGCCTGGCTCTAAAACCCACACTGTTCTTTCCACCCCGTGGTCCCACCACTCAAGCAGCTACCTTCGATTTAAAACCCTGTGTATCTGACACCAGAGCTCTTTCCTACTAAAAAACAAAGGAGCATTTAAAGACCATCTGGCCCAACCTCCTCATGTTATTCATGTGGAAACTGAGGCTCAAGGAAGGACAGCAATTTGCCCAACTGGGTTAATGGACCAGGCCAGAAACTGTCCTTCCTGCTACCACAAGATGAGTTGTTGGAAACACTGGTGTCCCAGTTCTGGAACCCTTTCTTGGTTTCCCATGACCTTGAGAGCTGGTAGGTGACTGTGTGGGCAGGGAGGGGGAAGAGGATCTTCTGCTAACTCTAACAGCTTACGAGACTCCAAGACACCCCGCTCTCTAGCCCTCTGTCTTCACATACACATATATTAATAGATGTGTATATATTCATTTTTTGAGATAAGGTCTCACTCTGTCACCCAGGCTGGAGTGCAGTGGTGCGATCACAGCTCACTGCAACCTCAACCTCCTGGACTCAAGCAATCCTCCCACCTCAGCCTCCTGAGTAGCTGAGAGTACAGGTGTGCGCCACCATGCCCATCTAAGTTTTTTAATTTTTTGTAGAGACAGGGCTTCACTATGTTGTGCAGCCTGGTCTTGAACTCTTGTGCTAAAGCAATCCTCCCACCTTGGCCTCCCCAGAGTACTGGGGTTATAAGAGTGAACCCCCACGCACGACCTCTTCCATCTTTTTGTGCTCCTCAAGGAAGGGCCCTGTCTCAGCCAAGTGGCCTTGAAAAGATATCTGTGCTTCTAAATCTCAAATGGGAGTTCTGGGACCTGGAAAATGCCGGAAAGGGAACAAAACCCATTAGAGGCAAATTCTGGAATTAAAACCAATTATTTTGTAGTCTCACTGCATCTTGGCAGGCCCCTATCTGCCTCTAAAATCCAACTATTTTGCAAAAAAACCTCTTGCTGGCCTTGTTCTTCTAATTGCACCAGGCTAATGCCCCAGCCCTAGTGAGTCACCTTCTCTTCTCAGAGTAAAATCTTAGTTTCTTTCTACTCCAGTGCCACTCAAGACATGCATAGCAGGCACCTACCAAGAACTGCACTGTGAGTATTTGCAGGATAAAGGTCAGTAGACCTGTTCCTGAAAGAAAGCATTTCTACTTCACAAGTTGTCAAAGAACCCTTTCTGGGAACAGAACATCTCCCAGATCTGAAGAAGGCAGCATGAAGTCTGTCCCTCAGAAGGTATTTATGGAAGTGCCCCCATGGGTGTCCCATACAGAATATCCACTAGGCTGTGAACTCCACGAGGGCAGGTGGAGAGTTTGCTTTGGTCTATTCATTGCTATATTCTAGTGCCAAGAACACAGTCGGCAGGCGATACGTATTTTTGTATGACTGATTGGACTCAATTTAAGTATTTAGTGCTGCACTAGGCCCTGAGTTGGATACAGAGATAACAGTGAAGCAAATCCTTCTTTCAAGGCACTCAGGGGCAAGTTGAGAAAATAAGACCAACAAATATCTCTAGCATAATGAAGAAAGTAGTGAGCATCATTTAAAAAAGAGACCAATAAAGTATTGTCAGAGCTTAGGGGCAGCAGCCTCGCATTCTGCTGGGGAGCCAGCAGCCATCACAGGAAATAATTTGACTGGGTGTGGGAAGATCAATAAGAGTTTTCCAGAGAAAGAAAAGGGAAGAGGCCATTCCAGAGAGAAAACTGAGGTTTCAGTGGTTTGTCACTCCTTATGTTACAAGACTCCAAGACACCCCTCTCTCTGGCCTTCCACTTTTTGTGTTCCTCAAGGAAGGGCCTTGTGTCTGCCAAGTGGCCCTGAGAAGACATCCGTATGTTGCGGCTTCTAAAACTCAAAAGGGAGGTCTGTAAGTTCCAGACCCTAAGAACACCATGATACCAGCCTTGTATTGTGACGAAAGGCTCCAACAAGGTCAGGATGCCCCGGGATGGGCTTTGCAGACATTTGACTGCAAACTAAAAACTAGAAGCTCGTGCCCTACAAGGACCGTGACTTTTGGAAGATTACAGCCCCTGAGAGACAGTGACATTCAGTGACAGACAGGCAGGCAGGCTACAGAAGGAAATCGTATGCAGACTAGGGAGCCGGGTTTTTGGAATTCAGACAGGTGGGGCCTTGAGCCATTTGTCACACAAAGATTAAACCCATTCTCCTAAAGCCCAGCTCTAATCTTACCATTCTCTTCCTCAAAAGCCTTCAGTGGCTCCCACTGCACACAGAAAATACAAACACCTTGGCCTGCCAGGTAAGGCCCTGAGAAGTGCCCTGCCTACTTTCCTTACTTTCTCAGCTCAGTGGGCTCCTTCCCCAGCACACACACACACACACACACACACACACACATGCCACTCTGCACTGTAGCTCCACCACGCTCCCACCAAGCTACAAACCTGCCTCTGTGCAGCTGTGTTCACCAACTCAGACCAACCGGGTCAGCTCAGAAATCTCAGGCCCACCCTACTCCCCTGCCCAGACAGAAAAAGCTCAGTGTCCTGTAGAATTCAGATGATCCGGTTACATCCTGCAGAGAAACTCCATGCTTCAAAGCAACATTAATTTGTAGTAATCCCTTGGGTGAATAGAACAATGTCCCTGAAAATTAATGAACCATCCTATAATATGGGGAAAGAAATCAGTAAAGATTTGAATTGTATGTGAAAGTGCATGTGTTTAAATTCTGCTCCGTGTGATCTTGGGCAACCTGAATTACCTTATCTACACCTTCTTTCCTTGTCCATAAAGTGGGGGCCTGACTGGGTTGCTCTGAGATGTAAATGGGACAGTACATGGCGGGCTTGGAAAGCCCTGGCATGGGCTAGGTTTATTAAATATTATCTGTTATTGTCGTGTTTACTGTGAGATAAAGAAGCTGAAATGGCACCTTTAGAAAGGGTCCATCCCTGAGTGGAGGTGGGGAAGTGATGTGGGAGCAGAGGAGATGTGTGGAGTCAGGGTCTCTTGTCAGAGAATGGAAAAAACAAGTGTGAGCAGGAAAAGCCTCTGACCCCTAGGGAGGGAAAACAGGCAGCCGAGATGCTGAAGGGTATCACACAGGCCTTTTGTGACTCGGCCTGCTGGAGCCATGGTCCCTTGGTGGAAGAATGGGTTTGGCACTCAAGACGAGGTAAGCAAAGTTCGACAACAGCTAAACTTGGGCCAAGGGAAAGGGCTCTCTCAACCCTTATCCAAGGCTTCTGAGGTCGGCAGCCAACCACCCTTGTGGTCCTGAAGCCTGCGGGCAACGCCTGATGGCTGCCAACAGTGACCCCCTGTGGCCTCCAGGAGCCACTGCAGGAGTTCCTTAAGACCAGAGCACTTCACACCCATGTGAATGTTGTAATGACTCAGCTTTGGGGAACCATAAAGCCCCCAGGGATTCCTGAGCTAATTCAAGAGGAGAGAGGACCCTAAGCAGGACACTAATCGGCCACATGGGAGCTCAGGCTAGCATTATTCTGAGTTATAACACCAAAAATATGTGGCACCTAGAGTTCAAGGAGAGTTTCAAGTCAGTTATGTCCAAGGAGAAACTGCACGATGTCCCATCCCATCAAGGGATAGAGAAAGCCCTTCTTCTGTCTTCTCCTTCAGCTGTCCTCCCAGCCCAAAATTCTGCTGTGCCCACTCCACTCCCAGCCCAGACTCTACCCCCACTAGCCCCTTCCGGCTCTACCTGTCTCAAGCCTACAGCATTTTAGTATCACTGACCCCGACTCTGGTGCGCACTCCTTTTTAAGAAGAAAGGAAATGGAACCCATATCACTGGACCCTGACCTGGGCCTGAGCCCACGTTTCCCACTCCGCTCTGTCAAAAACCTGGCAAGAAGTGAGACAACCAGTGTGCAGATTGTTGGTTAAAGGCCACAACCAGAATGACACAGGTCAAGGAGCCACAGGTGAACACAAGTCCCTCTGACAACTCCAAAGTCCTGCTTACATTTCTAACCTAGTAACAGTAGCAATGATAAATGTCCAGTTTTTACAAATAATATCATTTCTCAAGTCAGGCTAGCTCATCTCTAAATCTCTGGGCAACTAGATGTTATCTAACTCCACACTCCTACAAGTTCACAGTTGAAAAACTATGAAATGAATTTCTGTGCCTGATGTATTCAGAGAGTCTCAGAAGCCAGAGCTCTGCTGAATAACTGACTGAATTCTCTGTTGAACTGAATAACTAATGGTATTCAAGTGATACTAAATGGGATAATTTCCCTTTTTTCTAACTTGGAAAATTTAATTTGGGTGTTTTATCAAAAACTGCTGCTCCCCCATAGATTAATGGCCCACTATATCTTTCATATTAAATTAATTGAGTGCAGAATGGTTTTGTTGAATGTGAATGACAGGCTCTGGAGTTTAACTCATCATTCTTTAAGAAAGGCTAAGATGAGGAACTAAAACCACAGGGCCTGAATGATCACATCTTTTCTGTTTTCAGAGGCTTTCCCATTTTCAGTTGCCACACCGTACATTAATGAGCAATCAAGCAGCTCCTGGGCCAGACGATTTCCATTCTCCATCCCTAATGAGAAACCAGCCCTGCTCTTAACTTTCCGTCCCATTGTGTAGCTAAAAAAGAAGAGCACTTCATGAACACAGACCTTTACAACTTAGAAAGCACTGTTACTTCCTCTCTCTCATTTCACCCTCCCAACAGGCCTCAGCTCAACATGATTAACCCCATTTTACAAATGAGGAAACTGAGCAACTGAGCAAGAGCTTGCTCAAGGCCACACTAGTAAGTGGGCAGAGCTAGCACAGGACTCCCAGTCCAGTGCTCCTTCCCACACACTGCAGTAGCTTCGGGTGACAACTTTGTAATGGTTCACGATTTTTTGTCAGTATAAACCTTTGCTCTGCCTCCTCTTTCCACCTGCCTCCTCTTTCATCCTGAATTTAAATGAATGCTTTTTAAACTCTTTCTCATCTTATCTTTCAAGCCTCATTTTTCATCACCAGAACCCCAGGCTGCCACCACACTGCAACACGTGCCATGACCTATGCACACAATGATCTTGCTTTGCTCAACACAGTTCCCTCTGCTATGACACCCTGTCCCACCTTCTTCGCCCACCCATTTTCCCTGAACCAAATGCCATTTCCTCTGCAGGGCCTTTCCAAATGCTCTCCCTTCTGAAAGGGATTCACTCTCTCCCCGTGTATTTTATTTTATTTTATTTTATTTTATTTATTTTTGAGATGGAGTCTCGCTCTGTTGCCC